>NW_025791805.1:0-187626 GCF_000001405.40 Homo sapiens
AATCGGAGCTGCAGAAGAGACAAGCATTTCCAAACTGGCACCCGCTCCGAGCCCAAGGTGAGGGTGGAGAAGGGTCCCTGGTGGAAGCTGCAGGAACACTTTGGGCCGGGGTCTACCCCGCGTTCGGCGGCTCCCCGAATCCCGCAGAAAGACACGTTTGCAGCGAAAGGCTCTTACACACCAGCCGGGATTTTATTCGTTCCCTACCGAGAGTGCGCTCTGGGAGCGCGGGAAACAAGGAAAACGCACGTACCTGGCGGCGCTCCGAGGGCGGCCTCGCGGGCCCTCCGCTGGCGAAGGCCCCCAGAAGCCACTCCCCGCCCGGCTGCTCGCCCCACGGCCAGTCCCTCCCTCCCCGGCGACGCACCCCGCCGAGCCAGCTCACAGGAAGCGCCAGGAGCCGGAGACCTGGCTCGCCTTTCCGGGCGCTGCGTCCGTCTTCGACCGCCAGGGCCCGCGTCCTCTCCCCGGCCACGGCCCACCAGAGGGACCCCGCGGCGGGTCCTGGCTCGGGCGCGTCCTTCTGCGTCCGAGTTCCCAGGTTCCCGGCCGAGCTGCGGAGACGGACGCGGAGCCCTCGGGGAAGACGAGGCGGCGGCGGCCGCCGTCCGGGCAGGAGCCCCGGGGCGGGAGGGGTGCAGGGCGGAGGAGCGGGCGGGATCCCAGCGCCCCGCGCCCCGCGGCCGCCGCCCTCCGGGGCGCCCAGCCCCACCCACGTGGAACCGCCCCGCCCCCGCCGCCCCGCCCCCACGAGGGAAGGCACCCGAGCCTCGCCGCACACCCGCGCCTCCCGGTCCCGGGCCCGAAACACCGCGCCCCTCCCCCAGCGCCGTGCTCCCCGCCTCTCCAGCGCGCGGCTCCCGCCCGACCCGCGCGCCCGCCCGACCCGCCCCCAACCCCGCCCAATCACCGCCCTCCGCGGCTGCTCCCTTTGTCTGAGCCCCCGGCGCAGGCCAATGGAATCACGCGGAGGCGCGGGCGGCTTGGCCAATGGAAGGCCCAGGGGGCGTGGCTGGCGGGAGGGGCTGCGGGCGGCCGGGTTCTATGCGCTGAGACCCGAGACTGCGTCGCCGGCGGGTGCGCCCAGGTCGCCCAGCTAGAGCCGGCAGGATCCCGCCGCCGGGTTGTGGGTTTTTGACTCTCCCTCCGCTGTCGGGAGAAGCGCCTGAGTGGGGAGGGAGGTGGGAGGAGGTGGCCCCGCGTCGGGGGTGCGGGGAGCGGGACGGCGGCTTGGATGGACACGGTCAGCCCCGGGCCGGAGAGGGTTCGGCTCAGAGCAGCCTGGGTTCTGTTCAGAGCCCTACTGTGCACGTTTCCGCGAGGATCTGCGGAGAGACGTGCAGGCGACGCAGGCCCCGGGAAGGAAGGAGGGTACCTGGGCTCGGACGAGCGATAACGCTGTGTTCTGTGACTCCGTACAAACGGATCCTGGAGTCCAGGGAAAGCGTCCCAGGCCCCCAGCCCGGGCAGGGTTCGTGGGATTGGCGTCCGCTGCCCCAGGCTTACCCCGAATGGAGGAGTGACCCCTGTCCCCTGAGCTGGGTCGCATTGAGGGGAAATGCCAGGACACCCGCACCAGGGCCCAGGCACTGAAATCTGGAGCGGAGCACAGCCAGGCGGCTTGGCCTGTGCCCCGCGCCCTCCCCAGAGGGGGTCTTCTTCCAGGCTGGAGCGCACATCTCCCCTGGAGCAGGGGGTGAGGGAAGGGCCTCCTGTGCCCTCAGTCAGGCCCTGTAGGGCAGCAAGGGTGGAGAATGCCTGGACCTTCTTATCTTGTTACCCCGATTGCCTTCACCACGGCAGGGGAAAAAGTGACAAAACTGCCTTTGGGATGCCAAAGAGCTGGTGAGTGTCGCTTTCTCTGTAACAGAAACATGTAAAGCGGGTTGTCTGTTTCTAGGTGGAGGACTTTGGTCCGCTGTGTCCTGCATCTTCTTTAAAAGTAATAGACACAGTCTTAATTCACTGAGAAGGAGGCACATATGGGTGTCAGCAGTCCCAGGCCTCAGGGAACGTGCTTCTCACATTTTCCTAAGTTTCCAAACCTTGTCAAAGTGAAATCACAAACTAGAATAAAAACAGAGGCAAAGCAGCCCCTGGCCGTGAGATTTCAAAGGGCCTCTCCCTGCAGGGTCCAGTCCATCCCTGCAGGGTAAGTGGAGCCCTGGGCATAAATAAGGCACAGCATGGCAGAGGAGCCAGCACCAGGGAACACAGTCTTGTCACAAACATCCCAGGATCTGCTGGAGTCCTGCCGGGCCAGCATGGGCCTTCTCAGTCCTCAGGTCCCTGGCACTGTTGTCACCAAAGCCACGATCCCTCAACTGTTGTTGCCAAAGCCACTAGACAGCAACTTTTAAGACTCCACCCTGGGGTTCCCCACTCCAGGGGTCACCAGAATTCTGAGGCGGGCACTCTGCTGTGTCCCCTGAGGCCCACAGCAGCCCCAGGGTCTGGGGGACTCAGGGAGGACCTCCTAGCATCCTGACCTCCTCCAGCCCTGGTTGCAGCCCACAGACCCAGATCAATATGGCCTTAATGGTGTGGCTCCCAGGGATTAAGCAGCCAAGGCCAGAGACCTGAATGGGTTTAGAGGCTGAGAAGGGATTTAATCAAGGTAGCCCTCCATACAGTTCCTCCTGACACCCTCCTCTCCTGTTTCCAGTCCCTGGAGATGACAAAAAAAAAAAAAAAAACTGAGGCCAGGCACAGTGGCTCATGCCTGTAATCCCAGCACAGCACTTTGGGAGTCTGAGGCAGGCAGATCACCTGAGGTCAGGAGTTCAGGACCAGCCTGACCAACATGGAGAAACCCCATCTCTACTAAAAATACAAAATTAGCCAGCCTTGGTGGCGAATGCCTGTAGTCCCAACTATTCAGGAGGCTGAGGCAGGAGAATCGCTTGAACCCAGGAGGTAGAGGCTGTGGTGAGCCGAGATTGCGCCATTGCACTCCAGCCTGGGCAACAACGAGAGTGAAACTCCATCTCCAAAAAAACAAAGAAAAAAAAACTGTAAGTCCATTACAACCAGCAGGGACAAGATGGGTGCCCTCCGTGGCCCAGAAATCTGGAGGAGTCCTGGGGAGATGGGGGTGGGGACGTTGCTCTCGCTGGAGGGAAGAAATGACAGCCTTGGTGCCCAGAAGTGAAACCTGCTGGCAGGTGATGGCAGCTCCCAGAGGAGCCAAGGGGCCCTGGGACAGTGGGAGGGGGATGGCTGGGGTGTCTGTGGGAGGGCAGCCTCACCCTTGGCTGAGTACACTCAGCACAGGCAGTGGACAGAGAAGAGATCCCATTGTGGAATAACACCTGGAGGGAGCGGGGAGTCGTGGGCTCTGAGCCGTCAGCCACAGTTGAGGTGTCTGACCACGTGCTGCTGATGGACAAGCAGGGATCCCACACAAAGCTGGGATCACCAACCCCAAGGACGCACCACAAACTGAAGAACTAACACGAGCGAACTAACTAGCGCAGAGCCGGCGCTGTACAGCGAGATTGGGTGCCCCTCCTCCTTGGCCTGGGCTAGACTGAATCTGCCAGGTTCCCTGGCAAGGGGTGTGGCCAGGTGGCCACCTGCAGTGGAGGTGACAGCAGTGACGTGTGCCTCTCCTGTGACTGGCCCAAAAGGCCCTCCATTAACTTTTCCTTTCCCAGGGCCTGGCAACAACCAGGGTGACACAGGAAGCTTCGCTTGAGGACAGCAGAGTCACCCTCAGCCTAGGGCTCTGAGTGACTGCAAGAATCAAGGCCATTGTCAAACGGAAACCCTGCCATGGTTGTCAAGAGAGAAATCCACTTCTCTTTTGTTTAGGCATTTACACCAGCGTCTATGCCTCAGAGCAGTTTAACTTACAATTCAATTAGCAATTTAATCATTGGTTTTTCACTCCCCCGTAGCAGAATTTTACATCCGTCTGCTTGCTGTGGTCTCTAGGTGGTGGGTGGGCTCTCCTCCCTTGACTTTGGGCTTGGCGAGTGACGTGCTCTGGCTAGTGGGAAGGTAGCAGATTTGAAATGGGCAAAGGTTTGGAATGTGCCAGCAAGGGCAGCCTGGTCTTCCTGCTTGCCAGGGACCCACTACAAGCAGGCTGTGCCCCAGAGAAGAATGGAGAACGCAGATAACTGACGGGGGCTCCAAGAAGCGAGAAACCTGGGCGGACCTCAGCCCAGCCCACATCCCAGAACCCGGAGGCCAGGGGCTTGGCCAGGTGGAGGTCGGCCCTAGCCCTGTGAGCGTGAGACTCGGCCACCAAGCTTTAAGGTCGTCGTTATGCAGCACTGTTGTGGCAAAAGCCGACTGATACACCTGCCCTGGCACTTGGGGATACAGGGAAACGGATGTGGTGAATTGAAGATGATGCCACACGTCCCCTGGTGTGCCGAGGTAAAGGCTTGGGAACGCTGGGAAGAGGGAGGAAAGAGCCAGAAGGTTAGCGCGAGGCACTCATTCCCTGTAGCTTGACTACTGTTTCCAGAAATTGAGGGCCGGTTTGCAATTAGAGTTACCCCAGAAAGTTGGGACTCCCAGGTTGAAAAAGCCACTGTTTATGCCTCAAACAGTAGGAGAAAAGATGGTGGCTGTTCAAGGCCTGTCACTCAGGCAGCTCAGTCCAACAAAAGTGTGCAGGCCTACGGCAAAGATCAGATGAAGGCTCAGGTTGCGGGGGGAGGGGAGCAGATGGCTTAATGAATCATCTGTCAGTTGGACCCGGAAGACAGTCATCGGGACCCACGGAAAGGCTCTGCCCATCCTAGAGAGGCAGGCTTTGGGCTGGGTCTTCTCCCTGGAGATGATGGTGACTTTTTCTAACACGATGTGTGGAGGAAGGGTGGGTCTCACAGATGTCTGGAGGCCAAGGGCTGGCTGGCTGCCGTCCGGCTGTCCAACAGAAGCCGTTACCCCTTCTCATGGGGCCCCTGGCTGGTCTGCATTCCCAGGCTCCCTCGCAGTAGGTGTGGCTGGGTAACCGTGGTGTCCAACAGAATCTGGCAGAAGCAGTGTGCACCAGTTTCAGGAGCAGGTCACCCTTCCAGGAGGCTTTTAGGGTTCCCCCTTCTGATGGCTGAAATGGGCACATCAGAGAGACTGTGGAAGACAAATGTGCAAGATGACAGGGCAGCCTTCAGCCTGGGGCCCAACCAGGCCCCACCCCGCAGGAGCACTTGCTTGGGCAGGTCAGGGATAAATAAGCCGCGGGCTGGCATGGGCAGCTACGTTTGGGGTCTATTTGCTACAGTTGTGTAACTTGCACTGAGCAAGAGTTTCAGAACACACAGTGTTCAAAAACACCAGTAATAGCTTCAGAGAGAAAAGAGATTTTGTTCTTTAAAAAAAGAATCTGGGGAAGTGAACTCAGATTTTTGCTTCCTTCCTCATAATTTTAGGTAGTATTCAAAAATTTACAAGAAGATTCAGAAATAATAACCAAGAAAACTGCATTCATGTGAACAAATAAAAATAAGCTTTGGGGCTGGGCACAGTGGCTCGCGCCTGTAATCCCAGCATTTTGGGAGGCCAAGGCGGGTGGATTGCTTGAGGTCAGGCATTTGAGACCAGCTTGACCAACATGGTGAAACCCTGTCCCTACTAAAAATACAAAAATGAGCTGGGCGTGGTGGCGGGTGCCTGTAATCCCAGCTACTCAGGAGGCTGAGGCAGGAGAATCACTTGAATCCGGGAGGCAGAAGTTGCAGTGAGCCAGGACTGCGTCATTGCACTCCAACCTGGACAACAAAGTAAGACTCTGTCTCAAAAATTATAAAAAATAAATAGAGGCCGGGCACGGTGGCTCACACTTGTAATCCTGTATCTGGAATTGGTGGGTTCTTGGTCTCACTGACTTCAAGAATGAAGCCGTGGACCGTCACGGTGAGTGTTACAGTTCTTAAAGGCGGCGTGTCTGGAGTTTGTTCCTTCTGATATTCAGATGCGTTCGGAGTTTCTTCCTTCTGGTGGGTTCGTGGTCTCGCTGGCTCAGGAGTGAAGCTGCGGACCTTCGCGGTGAGTGTTACGGCTCTTAAGGCAGCGCGTCTGGAGTTGTCCTTCCTCCCGGTGGGCTCGTGGTCTCGCTGGCTTCAAGAGTGAAGCTGCAGACCTTCGGGGTGAGTGTTACAGCTCATAAAGGCAGTGTGGACCCAAAGCGTGAGCAGTAGCAAGATTTATTGCAAAAAGCGAAAGAACAAAGCTTCCACAGCGTGTAAGCAGACCAGAACAGGTTGGCACTGCTGGCTCGGGCAGCCTGCTTTTATTCTCTTATCTGGCCCCACCCACATCCTGCTGATTGGTAGAGCCCAGTGGTCTGTTTTGACAGGGCACTGATTGGTGTGTTTACAATCCCTGAGCTAGACACAAAGGTTCTCCACGTCCCCACCCGATTAGCTAGATACAGAGTGTCTACACAAAGGTTCTCCAAGGCCCCACCAGAGTAGCTAGATACAGAGTGTCGATTGGTGCATTCACAAACCCTGAGCTAGACACAGGGTGCTGATTGGTGTGTTTACAAAACTTGGACTAGATACAGAGTGCCGATTGGTGTATTTACAATCCCTTAGCTAGACATAAAGTTCTTCAAGTTCCCACTAGACTCAGGAGCCTAGCTGGCTTCACCCAGTGGATCTCGCACTGGGGCTGCAGGTGGAGCTGCCTGCCAATCCCGCGCCGTGCGCCCACGCTCCTCAGCCCCTGGGTGGTCGATGGGACTGGGCGCCGTGGAGCAGGGGGTGGCGCTCGTCGGGGAGGCTCGGGCTGCACAGGAGCCCACGGGTGGGGGGCGCGGGGCGGGGACGGGAGGCTCAGGCATGGCAGGCTGTAGGTCCCAGCTCTGCCCCACGGGAAGGCAGCTAAGGCCTGGCGAGAAATCCAGCGCAGCGCCGGTGCGCCGGCACTGTTGGGGGACCCAGCACACCCTCCGCAGCCGCTGGCCCGGGTGCTAAGCCCCTCATTGCCCGGGGCTGGCAGGGCCGGCCGGCTGCTCCGAGTGCGGAGCCCGCCAAGCCCACGCGGAACTCCAGCTGGCCCGCAAGCGACGCACGCAGCCCCAGTTCCCTCTCGCGCCTCTCCCTCCACACCTCCCCGCAAGCTGAGGGAGCCGGCTCCGGCCTTGGCCAGCCCAGAAAGGGGCTCCCACAGTGCAGCGGCGGGCTGAAGGGCTCCTCAAGTGCCGCCAGTGGGAGCCCAGGCAGAGGAGGCGCCGACAGCGAGCGAGGGCTGTGAGGACTGCCACACGCTGTCACCTCTCAATCGCAGCACTTTGGGAGGCCGAGGCGGGTGGATCACGAGGTCAGGAGATCGAGGCCATCCTGGCTAACACGGTAAAACCCTATCTCTACTAAAAATACAAAAAATTAGCCGGGCGTGGTGGCGGGCGCCTGTAGTCCCAGCTACTTGGGAGGCCGAGGCAGGAGAATGGCGTGAACCCAGGAGGCGGAGCTTGCAGTGAGCCGAGATCGCGTCACTGTACTCCAGCCTGGGTGACAGAGCAAGACTCCGTCTCAAAAATAAATAAATAAATAAATAAAAAATTGGGCTCGTTTGGTTTTGTGGAGTGTTTTGAGACAGGGAGTACAGCAGCAGGGTCACTGTAGTACAGCACAGGAGTCACTGCAGCCTCCACCTCCCAGGGTCACGCAATCCTCCCACCTCAGCCTCCCAAGTAGCTGGGACCAGAGGGTTTGAGCCACTACACCCAGCTAATTTTTCATGTTTGCTTTGTAGAGATGAGGTCTTGCTATGTTTTCCAGGCTGGTCTGAAACTCCTGGCCTCAAGTGATCCTCCCTCCTTGACCTCCCAAAGTGCTGGGATTACAGACATGAGCCACCTCACCCCGCCCCACTTTCTTTTTTTTTCTAATCAGCCCCAACTCATTATTTATTTTCACTGGTCTCTAACCAAAATTTGACATTTCCTTCAGTGATGAATGTATGACATAACTAAAATAACTAAAATGACTCAAATCATGCTGCGATTGTTGCAGATATCTTTTTTTGGAAACGGAGTCTTGCCCTGTCGCCTAGGCTGGAGTGCAGTGGCGCCATCTCGGCTCACTGCAACCTCTGCCTCCCGGGTTTAAGCGATTCTCCTGTCTCAGCCTCCCAAGGAGCTGGGACTATAGGCGCACGCCACCACGTCTGGCTTATTTTTGTATTTTTAGTAGAGACGGGATTTCACCATGTTGGCCAGGATGGTCTTGATCTCCTGACCTCATGGTCGGCCCACCTCGGCCTCCCAGAGTGCTGGGGTTACAGACGTGAGCCACCACGCCCAGCCAGCCAGGCTGGTCTTAAACTCCTGATCTCAAGTAATCCACCTGCCTCGGCCTCCAAAGTGCTGGAATTATAGGCGTCAGCCACTGCAGCTGGCCACAGATATCTCAAAATACTGTTTCTGTTCATCACAAACACATGTATTGCATGTACCAGAACTTTTGTGATGCATTAATATGTATAATTAATATGCATTAATGTGTACAAGTATAAAAAATATATGCAGGGGCAGGGTGTGGTAGCTCATGCTGTAATCCCAGTGCTTTGGGAGGCTGCGGAAATAAGATTGCTTGAGTCCAGGAATTCAAGACCAGCGTGGGCAACATGGGGAGCCCCTGTGTCTCTACAAAAAATTTAAAAATTAGCTAGGCATGGTGGTGCGTGCCTGTAGTCCCAGATACTTAGGCGGCTGAGGCAGGAGGATTGCTTGAGGCCAGGAGTTCCAGGCTGCAGTGAGCCATGATTGTGCCACTGCACTCCAGCCTGGGCAACAGAGCAAGACCTTGTCTCAAAAAAGAAATTAAGAAAGAAAGCAAGACAAGAAAAAAAAAAATATATATATATATATATATGCAAACTCATATACATTTATTATTGTATTGCAGTGTAATTGGTTCTCTTTATAATCCTATATACTTTATTTTAAAAAACACTTTTCAGAAGGGGTCCTTAGACTTCATCAGTGCCAAGTGGGGCCCGGGTCAATCACGGTGACCATGGTCACAGCCAGGATGGGTGGATGTGGGGCAAGAGTTGCACGCTGGACACAAGGGCCGTGTGCCCCAGGGCTGCTGAAGGAGATGCTCTCCCCTTCCTCTGGATCCCCCGGGTGTAAGTGGGACGCCTGCCTCTGCCGCAGCGCCTGTCAGCTGACTTGCTCCTGTCCTGAGTCAGAGCTGAGAGGTGGAAGGACTCAGGACCAGGAGGCGCTGGGGCCTCTGAGTGCTGCCCCTGCACCTGCCCACCTCAGTCTTGTGAAACGTTCTGCTTCTTGATCATGGAGGCCCGTTTGAGGCAGAGGCTCTGTGACCTGCACACACCTCCCAGTAGAAGATACTGCAGAAACACTGAAACTGGAAAGAGGGAAAAAGTCACCCCACACAAAGGTCCTGTTTTTTGACCTAGGTGTAGGCTGCACGGGTGTGTTCATTATGTGAGCATTCACAGGGCAGTATATTGAAAATAGGCGTACTTTGATATATGTTTATTATCCTTCAATAAAAACAGACAAATGCTAGCAAAAAAAGAGCAGCTATCGTAATATTAATAAAAGACCCAAAGAAATAAAGACCAAAAACATGGGATGGGTAGAAACCTATATGATTTCCGCTACAACCCTCACAGAGATACGCCAGCTGGATGGGCTGCTTCTGTAACCGACCAGCTGCAAATGACAGAAAACTTCCCAGCGCACGGGTTTGTCTCACGCAGTGCAATGGAAGGGGGTAGTAGTCCAAGGTGAATGCAGCCACTGGTGACATCATCTCAGATAAGGGTTCTGTCTCTTGGTGGCTTTCGGCTTCTGTCCTCGTGGTTACAGGATGGTTGCCGCCCCCCTAGTTATGATATCCTGTTCCAGAAGAAGAAGGAAGAGCTGAGGCAACAGGCCATCCCCACAAAGCTTCTCTCTTTCTGCCTACATCTCCTTGGCCAGAACCAGGTTATGTGGACACCCCTATCTGTGAGGGAGACCAGGAATCTGGGCATTTCCCTTGAGTAGAGAAGAGGAAGGCAAAGAGAAGGGTGGGAGTAGGTGACAAGCCTCTTTCTACAGAGTCGGCCACACCAATTGTGAACTACTGTGGACCAACCAACATATCTTCAAAACAGAGCAAAAAATTATAGAAGTACACTATTAATAAATCCACATTTGGTCTCAGACATTGAGACACCAAGCGGACCCAAAGCAATTAGGGATATAATAGATTTGAAAAGCACAAATAGGCCGGGCGCGGTGGCTCACGCCTGTAATCCCAGCACTTTAGGAGGCCAAGGCGGGCGGATCATGAGGTCAGGAGATGGACACCATCCTGGCTAACAGGGTGAAACCCCGTCTCTACTAAAAAATACAAAAAAAAAAAAATTAGCTAGGCATGGTGGCAGGCGCCTGTAGTCCCAGCTACTCGGGAGGCTGAGGCAGGAGAATGGCGTGAACCCAGGAGGCAGAGCTTGCAGTGAGCCAAGATTGTCCCACTGCACTCCAGCCTGGGCTGCAGAGAGAGACTCCATCTCAAAAAAAAAAAAAAAGAGAAAAAAAGAAAAGAAAAAAAAGAAAAACAAATAACAAACTTGATCCAACAGATCTATATAATGGAACTTTATAATCAGTGAACAGAGACTATATTATTTTCACACATAAATCAGTCCCCAGAATTGATCATTTATTGGACCACAAAAGAAATCTCAGGTCGGGTGTGGTGGCTCACACCTGTAATTCCAGCACTTTGGGAGGCCACGGCTGATGGATCACCTGAGGTCAAGAGTTCGAGACCAGCCTGACCAACGTGGAGAAACCCCGTCTCTACTGAAAAGAAATACAAAATTAGCCAGGCTTGGTGGTGCATGCCTGTAATCCTAGCTACTCGGGAGGCTGAAGCAGAAGAATCGCTTGAATCCGGGAGGCGGAGGTTGCCGTGAGCCGAGATCGCGCCATTGCACTCCAGCCTGGGCAGCAAGAGTGAAACTCTGTCTCAAAAAAAAAAAAACAGATAAATCTCAATAGGTTACAAGCAGAAACCATACCGTTCACATTCTTTGACTATAATGAGATCACTTGGAAATTAAGAGTAAGAGCCAGGTGCAGTGGCTCACGCCTGTAATCTCTCCCAACACTTTGGGAGGGCGGGAGGACTGCTTGAGGCCAGGAGTTCAAGACCAGCCTGGTCGGCCGGGCGCGGTGGCTCACGCCTGTAATCCCAGCAATTTCGGAGGCAGAGGTGGGTGGATCACAAGGTCAGGAGATCGAGACCATCTTGGCTAACATGGTGAAACCCCATCTCTACTAAAAAACCAAAAAATTAGCCCAGTGCAGTGGTGGGCACCTGTAGTCCCAGCTACTTGGCAGGCTGAAGACAGAGAATCACTTGAACCCGGGAGGCGGAGCTTGCAGTGAGCCAAGATCACGCCACGGCACACCAGCCTGGGCGACAGAGCGAGATTCCATCTCAAAAAAAAAAAAAAAATTATTTGAGACCATGTGGGCCTGGTGGCGTTTTTTTGTTTTGTTTTGTTTTGTTTGATGCATGCGCCACCACGCCCAGCTAATTGTTTGTATTTTTATTTTTATTTTATTTTTTGAGATGGAGTCTCGCTCTGTCACCCAGGCTGGAGTGCAGTGACGCCATCTTGGCCCACTGCCAGCTCCACCTCCCGGGTTCACGCCACTCTCCTGCCTCAGCCTCCCGAGTAGCTGGGACTACAGGCGCCCGCCACCACACCCGGCTAATTTTTTGTATTTTTAGTAGAGACGGGGTTTCATCGTGTTAGCCAGGATGGTCTCGATCTCCTGACCTCGTGATCCGCCTGCCTCGGCCTCCCAAAGTGCTGGGATTACAGACGCGAGCCACCGCGCCCGGCCTGTTTGTATTTTTTTTTTTTTAAGACGGAGTTTCGCTGTGTTACCCAGGCTGGAGTGCAATGGCGTGATCTCGGCTCACTGTAACCTCCATCTCCCGGGTTCAAGTGATTCTCCTGCCTCAGCCTCCCAAGTAGCTGGGACTACAGGCATGCACCACCAAGCCCAGCTAACTTTTGTATTTTTAGTAGAGATGTGGTTTCACCATGTTGGCCAGGCTGGTCTCGATCTCCTGACCTCGTGATCCGCCCGCCTTGGCCTCCCAAAGTGCTGGGATTACAAGTTTGTTTGTATTTTTAATAGAGACGGGGTTTCATCATGTTGGCCAGGCTGGTCTCGATCTGTTGACCTCGTGATCTGCCCGCCTCGGCCTCCCAAAGTGCTGGGTTTACAGGCGAGAGTCACTGCGACTGGCCAATTATTTGTATTTTTAGTAGAGACGGGGTTTCGCCATGTTGGCCAGGCTGGTCTCGATTTCCTGACCTCGTGATCCGCCCGCCTCGGCCTCCCACAGTGCTGGGGTTACAGGCGTGAGCCACTGTGGCAAGCCTGGTGAACATGTTTTGTTGTCAAATTGCTACATGAGGGAAACGTTTTCTGAATTTCTGTCACTCTGCGGCAGAGTCCAAAGCCCCAGGGGCGAGAGTCACGCTGCGGAGACTCCTGTCCACAGGTGGGATTCTTCTGGGAGAGCTCCTGTTAAATTCTGATTCCCAGCCAGGAAATTTGGTTTCTTCACTTGGGGTGGGGGCCCAGGAAGCTGGCAGAATAGGCTCCCTTAGTGATTCTGGTGCAGGTTCCTGGGGAACCTTACTCAGAGGCATCAGTGTAACTTTCTCCTGGTTTTCCCAGTGTGTGAGTGGTCAAGGCAGTGCGGGCTAAAGGGCAGCAGGGGCGTGGTGGAGGCAGTGGCGGACAAAGAGCCACTGCTCCGTGCTCTGCTCCACGCGGGGCCACTGCTCACCTGCTGTGCACTTGAGGTCCCTTCCTGGAGGTCCTCACACCAAGCCTTGGTAAGTGAGGGGTGAACAGGTGATGATTGGAAACTGGATCCCAGGTTCTGGCTGGGTGTGGGGTGATGATGAACTTGGTCTGAGCAGGGGTCCCATGAGAGTAAAAGACAGCCCCATGCGGTTGTGGCGGGGGTGGGGTTGCGAGGCATGGGGGATGGAAGCTGGGGCTGGGGGGACTGTGGTCCCTGGGAACTGGCCTTGCTTCCTGGACTGTCTTTGTGCACCAACCTCGTCTGCGTCCCCTCCTAGCCTGGGAGCTGCACGTGACAGCAGGTCCCGCCTGCTGTGTATTCCCGGCTCCAGCCCAGTGCCTGGCTCCCAGCACATTCTCAAATAACAGAAGTGGAATTGCAGTGGGAGGTCGTGGCCTAGTGGAGGTGGAGGACTTGGGAAGATACGCATCTTCATCTTCTCTGTAGACCCGGGAGTTCTCCTGAGCATTAGTCTCAGAATCGACTTGGGAATTTGCCAATAGGCAGAGCCTTGGCCAACAATATGTAGCAATTATGTAAAATCACACACGCACACACATGCACGTGAACACGTGCACACACACACACAAACACACCAGGATTTTTTTGGTAAGCTTTTTCATTTGGAATAATTGTAGATTCACATGCAGTTATCAGAAATAACACAGTAGGCTGGGCATGGTGGCTCATGCCTGTAATCCCAGCACTTTGGGAGGCCAAGGCGGGAGGATCACCTGAGGTCGAGAGTTTGAGACCAGCCTGACCAACATGGAGAAACCCCATCTCTACTGAAAATACAAAATTAGCTGGGCGTGGTGGCACGTGCCTCTAATCCCAGCTACTCAGGAGGCTGAGGCAGGAGAATCGCTTGAACCTGGGAGGCGGAGGTTGCGGTGAGCCGAGATTGCACCACTGCACTCCAGCCTGGGCAACAAGAGTGAAACTCCGTCTCAAAAAAAAAAAAAAAATAGAACTAACACAGTGATCCCACATACCCTTTTCCCCATTTCCCCCAATGGTAACATCTTGCAGAACTGTACTACAATGCCCCAGCAAGGATAGCGAGGATACTGGCATAGGGATCGCCAAGACACCCAGGCTTTCCATCGCCACAAGGGTCTCGGTGTCACCTGTTTACAGCCACACCCACCAGCCCTCCATCCTCTCCTGAGCCCCGTGGTGGGATGGGCTGTTTTCTCTTAGCATAATTCTCTGGAAATCCATCCGGGCTGCGGTGTCAAGAGCCCCTTCCTTCCTTCCTTCCTTCCTTCCTTCCTTCCTTCCTTCCTTCCTTCCTTCCTCCTTCCCTCCCTCCCTCATTCCCTTCCTCTCTCTCTCTCTTTCTCTCTTTCTTTTTGAAACAGAGTGTCACTCTGTCACCCAGGCTGGAATGCAGTGGCGCTATCTCAGCTCACTGCAACCTCTGTCTCCCGGGTTCAAGTGATTCTCCTGCCTCAGCCTCCCAAGTAGCTGGGACTACAGGCACCCACCACCACACCCGGCTAATTTTTGTAGTTTTAGTAGAGATGGGGTTTTGCCATATTGGCCAGGCTGGTCTCGAACTCCTGACCTTAAATGATCCGCCCGCCTCGGCCTCCCAAAGTGCTGGGATTACAGGCGTGAGGCACCGTGCCTGGCCAAGAGCTCATTCATTTCTTTGTTGAGTGATATTCCAGGGTGTGGAGGTACCACAGTGTCTTTGACCATTCACCCACTGAAAGGCATCTGGGTTCTTTCTGCTTTCAGCTCTTATGAACAGAGCTGCTGTGTACATTGATGTTCAGGATTTTGTGTGAACATAAATCTTTGCTCTGGGACAAATGCCTAGGAATACAATTGCAGGGCTGTTTAGTAGTTACAAGTTTAATTTTTTTTTTTTTTTTTTTTTTTGAGATGAAGTCTCACTCCGTCACCCAGGCTGCAGTGCAGTGGCGCGATCTCCACTCACTACAACCTTCGCCTCCCAAGTTCAAGTGATTCTCCTTTCTCAGCCTCCTGAGTAGCTGGGATTACAGGCATGCACCACCATGCCGTGCTAATTTTTGTATTTTTAGTAGAGATGGGGTTTCTCCAATATGTTTAATTTTTAAAGAAACTGCCAAACTATCTTCTGGAGAGGTTGTGTCATTTTACATTCCCACCAGTAACACACAAGTAATTCGGTTTCTCCACATCCTTGCCAACATTTGGTTTCATGACTATTTTTTACTTTAACCATCCTGATAGGCGTGTGCTGGTATCTCACTGTGTTTTTTAGTTTGCATTTTCCTGACCACTGATGATGTTGAACATCTTTTCACGTGCTTATTTGCCATCTGTATAACCTCTCTAGTGAAATGTCTGTTCATGTCTTTAGCTCACTTTCCAATTGAATTGTTTGTTTTTTCACCTTTGAGCTTTAAGCATTCTTTACATATTTTAGATACTAGCCCTTGGTTTGATATCTGTGGTTTACAGAAATCTTCTTCCAGTCTGTACTTTGTCTTTTCATACCTAAACAGGGTTTTGTTATTTGTAGCTTCATGCTTTTGAATGACTTCCAACTTACAAAAAAGTGGTTAGAATTGTACAAAGAGCTGCTAGATCCCAGTCACCCAGAATCGCCAAGCGTTCATATTTTACCACCTTTTTAAATTCTCTGTTTTTGTTTTTTTGCTTGTTTGTTTTGTTTTTTTTTTTTACGGAGTCTTGCTCTGTGGCCCAGGCTGGAGTGCAGTGGCGCGATCTCGGCTCACTGCAACCTCTGCCTCCTGGTTCAAGCGATTCTCCTGCCTCAGCCTTCTGAGTAGCTGGGACTACAGGCGCCGTCACCACCCCCGGCTAATTTTTTGTATTTTTAGTAGAGACAGGGTTTCACCATATTAGCCAGGCTGGTCTCTAACTCCTGACCTTGTAATCTGCCCACCTCTGCCTCCCAAAGTGCTGGGATTACAGGCGTGAGCCACCGTGCCAGGCCCACTTTTTTTTTTTTTGAGATGGACTTTCACTTTTGTCACCCAGGATGGAGTACAGTGGCATAGTCTCGGCTCACTGCAACCTCTGCCTCCCGGGTTCAAGTGATTCTCCTGCCTCAGCCTCCTGAGCCACTGGGATTACAGGTGCCTACCACCATGTCCAGCTAATTTTTTGTATTTTTAGTAGAGACAGGGTGTCACCATGTTAGCCAGGCTGGTCTCTAACTACTGACCTCAGCTGATCCCACCTGCCTCAGCCTCCAAAAGTGCTGGGATTACAGGTGTGAGCCACCATGCCCAGCCATGCCAAATGGAAGTTTTCTAATTCCATTATTCCTTCTGCTGCACCCCCCATTTATGTATAAATTTTTCTAGGTTTCGCCAGAGGGAAGCCCCTTGAGCCATCTCTTGCCTTTTGACACATCTCCATCTTTTATTTATTTATTTATTTTTTATTTTTATTTATTTTTATTTTTTGAGGTGCGTTGCCCAGGCTGGAGTGCAGTGGCACGATCTCGGCTCGCTGCAAGCTCCGCCTCCCGGCTTCACACCATTCTTCTGCCTCAGCCTCCCGAGTAGCTGGGACTACAGGCACCCACCACCACGCCCAGCTAATTTTTTATATTTTTAGTAGAGATGGGGTTTCACCGTGTTAGCCAGGATCGTCTCGATCTCCTGACTTCATGATCCACCCGCCTCGGCCTCCCAAAGTGCTGGGATTGCAGGCGTGAGCCACCGCACCCGGCCTCTTTTATTTATTTATTTTAAGATGGTCTCACTCTGTTGCCCAGGCTGGAGTGCAGTGGTGCAGTCTTGGCTCATTGCAGCCTCGACTGCCCCAGCTCAAGCGATCCTCCTGCTTCAGCCTCCCGAGTACCTGGGACCACAGACATGTGACACTGATATGGTTTGGCTGTGTCCCCACGCAAATCTCATCTTGAATTGTAGTTCCCATAATTCCCCTGCATGGAGGGAAGGACCCAGTGGGAGGAATTGAATCATGGGGTTGGGTCTTTCCTGTGCTGTTTTCATGAGGTAGTAAATAAGTCTCACGAGATCTGATGGTTTTATAAAGGGGAGTTCCCCTGCACACGCTCTCTGCCTGCCTCCATGTGAGACGAGACTTTGCTCCTCCTTCACCTTCCACCACGATTGTGAGGCCTCCCCAGCCATGTGGAACTGTGAGTCCATTAAACCTCTTTCCTTTATAAGTTACCCAGACTCAGGTATGTCTTTATTAGCAGCGTAATAACAGACTAATACAGACCGTGCTCAGCTAATTTTCTGTGTGTGTTTGTTTGTAGAGACGGGGTTTTGCCATGTTGGCTAGGCTGTTCTCAAATTCCTGGGCTCAAGCAATCTTCCCACCTTGGCCTCCCAAAGTGCTGGGATTACAGGCATGAGCCACCACGCCCAGCCTGTTTCCTTGGGTGCTTCCTGACTTTCTGGCACAACAGGATATCCCAGGCTCATCTCAAACATTCCCTGCCCCAGCCCTGGATGTAGCCTTCTCTCCAAAGAACCCCTGTTCCTGTTAGTGGGAAACGGAATTTAGATCTGGGCAGGGCACCGGGTGTGCACATGACTACTGAGACTTCATTGTTTCTGGGTCCTTCTGACAGGCAGAGCTAGGAACTGTGCACACACACACACACACACACGCCTCTACCTCGCTATATCCATCTACTATATGAAAAAGCATGAAGCCGGGCATGGTGGCTCATGCTTGTAGTCCAAGCCACTCAGGAGGCTGAGGAGGGAGGATCAGTTGAGCCCAGGAGTTGGAGGTTACAGTGAGCCTTGATCCTGCCACTGCACCCCAGCATGGGCAACAAGAGTGAGACCCTTAAAAAAAAAAGAGAGAGAGAGAGACTGGGTGCAGTGGCTCATAACTGTAATCCCAGAACTTTGGGAGGACGAGGCAGGCAGATCACAAGGTCAGGAGTTTGAGACCAGCCCTGGCCAACGTGGTGAAACCCCGCCTCTACTAAAAATCCAAAAATTAGCTGGGCGTGGTGGCGCATGCCTGTAATCCCAGCTACTCAGGAGACTGAGGCAGGAGAATCTCTTGAATCGGGAGGCGGAGGTTGCAGTGAGCTGAGATCACGCCATTGCACTATAGCCTGAGTGACACAGTAAGACTCCGTCTCAAAAAAAAAAGAAAAAGAAAAGCCACACGCATTCGCACCAATACTGTAACTGTAGTCCAGCACCAGAGAGCTGACTCCAGCCTCCTCCTTTCCATGTCTGGTTAGGACCCTCATCCCCACTGACCAACACAGCCAGGCGCCTCCTTCTTTGTGACCCCCCTCGCCCATGGGAAGAAGCGGCTCCACCTCCCCAGGATGCCTCCTCCCTGCTCCCCTGATCGCATGCCTTGCTCCCCGACCTCCTATCTCTCCTCCCACCATGCAAGGTGCTAGCTGGTTCCTTGGCTCCTACTAAAGGGAAGGGAAGGGAAAACGGGAGGGGGTCGTATGCATGTCCTGCGGCTGCCGTACCAAACCACCACAAACTGAGGGCTTCAAACAACAGAAATTTGGCCGGACGAGGTGGCTCACGCCTATAATCCCAGCACTTTGGGAGGCCGAGTCGGGTGGATCACCTGAGGTCAAGAGTTCGTGACCAGCCTGACCAACATGGAGAAACCCCATCTCTACTAGACATACAAAAAATGAGCTGCGCGTGGTGGCGTATGCCTGTAATCCCAGCTGCTCAGGAGGCTGAAGCAGGAGAATCACTTGAACCTGGGAAGGAGGTTGTGGTGAGCTGAGATTGCGCCATTGCACTCCAGCCTGGGTGACAGAGCGAGACTCCGTCTCCAAAAAACCAAAAAAACCACAACAGAAATTCATTTTCTTGTGGCTCTAGAGGCCTGAAGCCTGAGGCCAAGATGTCGGCAGGGCTGGTTCTGTCTGAGGCTCTGCAGGAGAACCTGGCCCAGGCCTCTCCCCCAGCTCCTGGTGGCTCCCAGCGACCCTTGTGGACGCCACTCCCATCTCTGACTCCATCTTCACGCAGCCTTCTCTCCCCTCCAAGTGTCCCTGTGTGAAAATGTCCCTCTATAAGGATGAGAGTCACTGGATCAGGGCCTTGGTAATAAAACGAAATTCTCTTCCAGTTCAGCTGCCAACACAGCCGCAGGCAGGTTCTCTCATCTTCACTCGGTCACATCTGCAAAGACCCTGTTTCCAAATAAGGCCGCAGTCTCAGGCGCTGGGGATCAGGACTTCAGTGTACCTCTTGGGGGGACCCAGGGCCGGTCCACAGCGGGTGGAACCGCATCTGTAACAGGCCCAAGGTGCTTCCTCCTGCACCATCAATCCCAGACACCTGGGTGTGGTGTCTGAGTTCAACAGCCAGGGAGGGGCCTGGACCTGCACGGGGGCAGCCAGGACAGGGGCTGTGTTGGGGACAGGAGGGGCTGCTGGCAGCGCCACAGACACAGGACAGGGCAGGGGTGCAGGAGCCCTGCCCAGGGATGATACCCCCTCACCTCGTGACAGCTAGGGGACACTGGCTTGGGGACCCTTTCACGACACCACCAGCCTCCAGCCTCAGCCCCAAGAGAGGCTCCTGTCTTGCTTCTTCTGACCTCAGCACCGCAGTGGCCTGAGGTCTCGGGTCCAACAGGCTGGGAAGGCCAGAGCGGCTCTTCCTGGGCTGCCCAGGAGGTCTGCGAGGGGGCTTCCCCCAGTCCCAGCGCTGCCCGCAGTGTGAGCTGAGTAACCCTGAGTGAGAGCCAAGAGCTCCCAGGCTCAGTTCCTTCATATCCAGTGAAGGGGTTGACCAGAGGCCCCCACCTGAACGGGCACCTGCAGGCGCCCCTGCCTGGAGGCCGCCGTCCCAGCTCTGCCGCAGCGTGGGGCCATTTAGAAACCTGTGCTGGGCTTACAACTTAAAGCAGCGGTCCCCAACCTGTTTGGCACCCAGGATGGGTTTCGTGAAAGGCAATCTTTCCATGGGCAGTGAGGGTGGTGGTGGTTTCGGGATGAAACTGTTTCACCTCAGATCATCAGGCATTAGAGTCTCATAAGAAGGGTGCAGCCCAGATCCCTCACACACGCAGTTCACAATAGGGTTCTCAGGTTCCGCGCCTATGAGAATCCAACGCCACCGCTGATCTGACGGGAGGCGGAGCTCAGGCGGGGACGCTTACTCACCCGCAGCTCACTTGCTGACGTGCAGTCCGGTTCCTAACAGGACACCAACAGGTCCGTGGCCCAGGGGTTGGGGACCCCTGACTTAAAGGACACTCCCCGGCCCGATAAGCACCATCGCTGAGCACAGGCTGGCACGGAGGCCAGGGAGGGCTGCCCCCTGGGTGTTGCTAAGCACGCCGCCCCAGGAGGGAACCGGCTCTGGAAGCTGCTCTCACAGCAGGGTCAGCTGGGATGCTGTCGGGTTTTAGCAGGACTGGGTCAAAGCTGGCGTCTGGAACTCAGAAGGGAAATCAGACATTGCCGGGCCAATCATGGAAGCGGCCTCTCCCCAGAGAGCTGGGGAAATTGAGGCCCAGAGAGATGTGTGGAGTCACTGGTGGGACGTGACCACCTGCCTGTGTCTGCTCCAGACCAGCCCCCGTCTCTGCCCCGGGCATGGTTCTGTTTGGGGCCAGAAAGACACGGGCCTGGAGCTCAGGGGAAAGGCTGGAAAGGGCCTTGGTCCTCCCAGCAGAGTGGACGCTTATCTCCACCGGAGCGCACAGAGGCTGGACGCACACCGCCCTCTGTGCTCACGGGTTCATTTGTTTGATGAATTTGTCATAACTTGAAAGGCTCTGGTTTATATGCTAACTTCCTGTTCCAGTTCAGTGCCAACATAACCACAGGCAGGTTAATTGCGTGTCCATCAACACGCCTGGGGAGCGAGCCAAGCCCTCCCTCCCGCCTTCATGGCCACAGAGTCCTGCTGCCAGAGCGCTCCAACCCGTGGGCAGGGGCTGTGGTGAGTGCCAGCCCCACAGGAAACCCCGTGTGCCAGGTGCCACAGCCAGGCCTGCCCTGGGCTGCAGGCCCCCCGTTCTTCAGTCCTTCCTGTGAAGTCGTCCAGCTGGGGGTGGGAAGGGAGGTGCCTGTGACTGCTGGAGAGACTCATCCAGCCACCCTCAACCAATAAAATGCTCTTCACCCAGCAATTCTACTTCCAGGGATCTCTCCCACCACCGAGTCCCACCAGGGTGCCACGATGTAGAGGCAGGACATTTGTGGGAAGGTGCCGGCGGCTCCTGGGGCTGGACACAGGCTAAATGCCTGGGAGGGGGCGGCTGGGTAAGGGAGAGGTGAGCCGAGGCCATGCAGCCTGGTAGCCATCGAGAAGAAGGAGATTACGTGGACAAGTGGTTAAAGACTTTCTAGGTGCTGCTCCGGGACAAAGGTGAGGTGCCACCCCCATGCTGTGTGTGGGACTTTGCTAAAACCAGATGGGAGGGGAATGGTGCCTGGAGGGTCCCTGCACTGTATAACCTTCTATGCCTTTGAGGTGTAAAAGCAGTGTTGTTTTACCTTCCTAAACTGCTGTCACAAATTTCTACAAAGTTGTTCATGTAAAACAACAAAATTCCATTCTCTCACAGGCCTGGAGGCCGCAAGTCCAGAATCAAGGTGCCTGAGGGCCGTGTTCCCTCTGGAGGCGCCCGGGGAGGCGGGGTTGGGGGAATCCTTCCTGGTCTCTTCCAGCTTCTGGGGGCCACAGGTGCTCCTGGACTTGCAGCCCCGCATGGCTCCAGCCTCTGCCTCCACCTCCACGCGCCTTCTCCGCTCTGGGTCTCAGTCATCCTCTGGCTTTCCCTTTCTCCGATGCCTAAGTGTCATCGGATTTAGGGCCCAGCCTAAGTTCAGGATGACCTCATCTGGAAATTAGATGTCAATCAGAAGCTGGAGGTTCATGGGGCCCCCACTCTATGAATGCAGGGTCTATGTCCCGGAAGGAGGTGACAGTCCAAGCAGGACCTGGACGTCTGGACACCTGGGAACCCAGGCGTCTGAACACTTGGAGCCTGGACATCTGGACGCTAGGACACCTAGACACCCCCACAATGCCCCTTTCCCCAAGCCCAGGCTTCCCCAACTGGCCTCGAGTCCAGGGCCCACAACGAGGAGCGGGTGGTGGTAAGAAGGAAGGTGGTGGAAACCACCACTGAGGCATCGATGTGTATTTGAGACCTCAGAACCAAGTGCAGCCGAGCGCGTGGACCATGCAGAGACCAGCCGGCCAGGCCATTGGTCCCAGACTGCACCCCTGGGGAGGCCCCGCCCACCTCGTGTGGCACTTTCCCACGTGGCAACCCCAAAGCCAGCAGGTGCAGTGTTTGAGTCAGGCTGCCTGGGCTCTGTCCACAGCTGGGGGGCCTTGGACGAGGGACCTCTGGTGCTCATTTGGACAGCAGCATCATGGTGGCTGCCTCAGGGCTGGTGGGATTACCTAGCAGGACAGCCCAGGGCTCACCTTTCTTTCTTTCTTTTTTTTTTTTTTGAGACGGACTCTCACTCTGTCACCCAGGCTGGAGTGCAGTGGTGCGATCTCAGCTCCCTGCAAGCTCCGCCTCCCAGGTTCATGCCATTCTCCTGCCTCAACCTCCTGAGTAGCTGGGACTACAGGCGCCCGCCACCACGCCTGGCTAATTTTTTCTATTTTTAGTAGAGACGGGGTTTCACCGTGTTGGCCAGGATGGTCTCCATCTCCTCACCTCATGATCTGCCCGCCTCAGCCTCCCAAAGTGCTGGGATTACAGGCGTGAGCCCCCGTGCCCAGCCTCCTTTTTTTTTTTTTTTTTTGGAGATGGAATCTCGCTCTGTCACCCAGACTGGATGGAGTGCAGCGGCGCGATCTCGCCTCCCGGGTTTAAGCAATTCTCCTGCCTCAGCCTTCCTAGTAGCTGGGATTACAGGCGTGCACCACCACGCCTGGCTAATTTTTGTATTTTTAGTAGAGATGGGGTTTCACCATGTTGGCCCAGGCTAGTCTCCAACTCCTGACCTCAAGTGATCCACCCTCCTTGGCCTCCCAAAGTGCTGGGATTACAGGCGTGAGCCACCACGCCCGTCCAAGCCACCTTTCAACAGACGGCCCCGGTGGCCGTTCTCAGGTGGGACTGATCTGGTCCTGCTGCTGCCTTCACTGAGCAGCATCGGGAGAACCAGGTGGCCGCTGTCCAGGCTCTGCGCTCCCGGCCCTGCTGGGTCTGCTCTGGAGTTCAGGGCTCGTGATGGTGTCCCAGTGTGTAGGTCTGCAGAACGAGGTGGTGCAGGAAGGGTGGGCCCTGGGTCCCACCGACCAAGGCTCTGGGACTTCCTTCTCCATGTTGGACGCAGGCTCAGGCTGGAGCTCTGTGATGCACCGGTGCCCTGCTGGGGGTGGACAGGGAGCACAGAGCCCCAAGGTCCAGGGGCAGCTCTGCTCTCTGTGCCCAGTGGGCCCATGGCAGCCTTAGCGGGGAGGCAGGGTACAGAGGGGTGGCAGAGGACCCTCGCCAGAGCCCAAGGTCCCTCGCGCCCCCAGGCCTTCTCTGGGGAGACCAGGAGGCTTGGAGGTCCTGGGGCAGCTGTGAGCCCTTTCTGGGCTGGCTCTTCACATGCACAGCCTTGCTCTGGAGCTTCCCGGCCATGATCTGCCTTCACAGAAACCCTGGGGGGCCGGATGAGAAGGCTCCAGAGAAACGGGCCGTCGAGGAGCTCGCATCCAGATGGGGGTCCCTCGGCCGACTTGGCGAGGACACACAAAACACAAGAGAAATGCCCAGAGGGTGTGTCTTGTGGTCCCCAGCATGGGCCTGGTGGACCTCAGTGAGCCCTTCTTTGACCCTGGCGTGGTGGCCGCCAGTGCCTCCTCATGGCTGGCCCTGCTCCCGGTCACTGCTGGGCACCGATGACCCCCTCATTCTCCCAGGCACCCCCTGAGAGAGACTCATGTGAGTCCAATTTTCTTCTTTCTTTGTTTTTTTGAGATAGGGTCTCACTCTGTTGTCCAGGCTGGACTGCTATGGTGAGATCAGCGTTTAATGCTGCCTCAACCTCCTGGGCTCAAGCGGTCCTCCCGCCTCAGCCTCTGGAATAGCTGGAACTACAGGTACGTGCCACCACACTCAGATAATTTTTTGTTTTTATTTTGTAGAGATGGGGGCATTACATTGCCCAAGCTGGTCTTGAACTTCTAAGCTCAAGCAATCCTCCTGCCTCGGTCTCTCAAAATGCTGGGATTACAGGCATGTGCCACCGTGCCCGGCTTAGTCTGATTTTCTTTTTTTTTTTGAGACAGTCTCACTCTGTCGCCCAGGCTGGAGTGCAATGGCGATCTCAGCTCACCACAACTTCCACCACCCAGGTTCAGGTGATTCTTCTGCCTCAGCCTCCTGAGTAGCTGGGACTACAGGCACCTGCCACCACGCCTGGCTAATTTTTGTATTTTTAGTAGAGACAGGGTTTCACCATCTTGGCCAGGCTGGTCTTGAACTCCTGACCTCATGATCTGCCTGCTTTGGCCTCCACAGTGCTGGGATAACAGGCGTGAGCCACCCCTCCTGGCCAAGTCTGATTTTCAAATGAGGCTCAGCAGGGCCGGGAGCTACCTGGTCACCCAAGGGCACAGGCAGATCTGGGAGAAGGTGGTTTCCTGTGGGGTCCCGGGACCTGTTGCAGACAGAGCCTCTAGCCCTGCTCCTGGGGAGCCTCGCTCTAGATACCTGGGGAAGTCGCTGAGCCTCAGTTCCTGGGCCCCTGGTCCCTGACACCCCAGAGCCTGCCTGGCCTCCGACCCTCAAGCCTCTTACCCTTTCTTTTCCTCAAGGCTCCTCTCCTGTTTTCTAAACCTTCTCCTTCAAAACAAACCCTCTCAAGGCTGGGTCCCAGAGCAAAGATCCTCAGGGTTGGCCAGGCGCGGTGGCTCATGCCTGTAATCCCAGCACTTTGGGAGGCCAAGGTGGGTAGATCACCTGAGGTCAGGAGTTCAAGACCAGCCTGGCCAACATGGTGAAACCCCGTCTCTACTAAAAATACAAAAATTAGCCGGGGATGGTGGCACATACCTGTAATCCCAGCTACTCGGGAGGCTGAGCAGGAGAATCACTTAAACCCGGGAAGCGGAGGTTGTGGTGAGCCGAGATTGTGCCACTGCACTCCAGTCTGGTGACAGAGCGAGACTCTATCTGAAAAAAAAAAAAAAAAATCCTCAGGGTGCCCGGGAACCTACTGGAGCCAGGGACAGACACATCTGGATGGAAACTGCAGTGCCCTATGGGGTCAGGCACATGCTAGAGGCAGCCAGGTCCTAGGGGAAGAGGAAGGAGAGGTGGTGCTGGCCTAGGGGGCAGGGGTGCGGGGGACAGGGCTAAGCCAGCCATCTCTGCCAGAAGCAGGCAGCCCTTCCTGAAATGGACTTTGAGAGTTTGTGATATCATAATTGACGTCGCTGCCTGCCAGAGTCAGGAACCGGCCCAGAGTGTCATCCATCCCCTTCACTCCAGCCTGACTCAGAAGGTGGAATTGTGCCCCCCAAATATGTCCAAGTCCTGGTGCCCTCATATCTGTGAATGTGACCTTATCTAGAAATAGGGTCAGCCGGGCGTGGTGGCTCACGCCTGTAATCCCAGCACTTTGGGAGGCTGAGACCGGCGGATCACCTGAGGTTGGGAGTCTGAGACCAGCTGGACCGACATGGAGAAACCCCCTCTCTACTAAAAATACAAAAAATTAGCTGGGCGTGGTGGCGCATGCCTGTAATCCCAGCTACTCGGGCTGAGGCAGGAGAATCACTTGAACCCAGGAGGCAGAGGTTGCGGTGAGCTGAGATCACGCCATTGCACTCCAGCCTGGGCAACAAGAGCAAAACTCCACCTCAAAAAAAAAAAAAAAAAGAAAGAAAGAAAGAAAAAGAAATATGGTCTTTGCAGCTATAATCAAGCTAAGATGAAGTCAGACTGGAGTAGAGTGGGCCCTAATCCAGTGCCTGGTGTCCTTCTAAGAGTGAGACACTGAGGACGGGCGCGGTGGATCACACCTGTAAATCCCAGCACTTTGGGAGGCTGAGGCGGGCGGATCACGAGGTCAAGAGATTGAGACCATCCTGGCCAACATGGTGAAACCCCGTCTCTACTAAAAATACAAAAATTAGCTGGGCATGGTGGTGTGCACCTGCACTCCCAGTTATTCAGGGGGCTGAGGCAGGAGAATCACTTGAACCCTGCAGGCGGAGATTGCAGTGAGCCGAGATCGTGCCACTGCACTCCAGCCTGGGTGACAGAGCAAGGCTCCGTCTCAAAAAAAAAAAAAAAAAAGACACTGAGACAGTCCCAATGCCAATGAGCCGTGCACTTAAAAATTGTTAAAATGGTAGATTATATATATAACCACAATTCAAAAAATAACCAGATAAAATTTTAGGAGCCTGAAGTTATGGGGCGTGTATACAGTGAGGGACCGCACCGCCCGCCGGCAGCTTTCATCTGTCAACTCCTAGTGAGAAGAACACTCACCCACCAAAAAAAGGAAAAATTGAAAATGGTGCTGATTTCGAGGGTAAGTGCTAGCTTGCTTGCAGGGCATTTGAATATATGAAGTCAAATGGACAAATTCAAACCTGGGTCTTGTTACCAGGCAAGTTACTGAAATACTTCATTCAGTTTCGCACCTGACAATATACAATTTTAGAAAGAATATGTATACAAAAAAAGAGTGAGGCAGAGATTGGAGACCACCTGAAGCTGGGACAGAGGCCTCGACAGGCCTCCCCGCAGAGCCTCCAGAAGGATCCACACCACCGCACGTCGGTGGCCAGCTTCTGGCCTCTCAATCCATAAGAAAAGAGCTTCCTGCCATTGAAGCGCCCAGTCTGTGGCCATCTGTTGCACAGTCAAGGACACCAAGGCCCAGACCCAGCTATGTGTGTGTCCTGGGGAGGCACAGGGTGAGGGGGACTCTCTGCTCCCAGGGTCGGTGCTTGGGGGGGGTCTCCCAGGAGCGGGATGGGGCAGGGCTCCTCCAGTGCAGGCTGGGAGGCCTCAGGGGATCCACCCGCCAGGAATGCCCATGGGCCCAGAAGGCACAGGGTGGGGGTTCCCTAAACTCTCTGGAGGCTGGGGCTGGGGGAACAGGCTGTTCCAGCAAGGGGCCCTGAGGCTGTGGCCACACACGGGCTGGGAGGGATCCGGCCTGTGCCTGGGCACTTAGCCTGAGTGTGGGGGGGACCAGGGCCTGTGCAGGTCACGTGGCCTCCACGGTGTCAGCTCCAAGGGACACTGCTCGGCCTCCTCTTAGTCAACCCAGGGACGACTCCTTCCTGGTGGGACCTCCCTTCTTGAGGCTTCCAGGAGGCACTCCTGTGTCTCTGGTCTCCGCTTCCCGGCCCCTCCTCCCTCCTGAAGCTCCATCCTGTCCCCAGCGTCCCTGAGATGACCTCACCCACGCCAGTTTCCCATTCCATGCTCTGCGGCAGGCTCCGGAGTCCACATCTCCAAGCCGAGTAGGCGTCCCTCACATGCTCCTGCTCGAACCGGCCGCCTGACCTCCTTGAGCCCAGCAGATGGCCACGCAGAGCCCTGAGTTGCAGTGGAACCTGCTGGCCCTCTGGCACCCATCTCATTGAGGGGCCCCCCCACCCCAGGAGTACAGGCCTGTGGCTGTGTTCCTATGTGGCTTTGCTCCCCACACCCACAAGAACACGCACAACAGATCCTGGGCGTCTTCAAAATTCAGGCAATGTCCAGCTCGGGCCTTCCCAGCCACTCGGCTCCCTCCCCAACCCAGCACCTCCTCCCTGGCCCTGCATCCCCTCCACTTGGACCTCCTCTGGTTCCCTCCCTGCAAGCAGCCCAGGCTCCAAGCCCTCCACGGGCCCCCCAAGGCACAGTCCCAGAGCCAAAGTCTTCCCCTCGGCCTTCCAGGACCTCTGGAATCCAGCCACTGGCTCGAACCCTCTGACCCCATCTCTCCTCCCCTCCCCATTTCCTGCCCCCACTGAAGGCCCAGTGGCCTCCTTTCCTTCCTGGAAGCCCCAGGGCCTTTGTACCTGACAGTCTCCCAGTCAGAAATGCCCCCCAGTCAGGGCGCGGTGGCTCACACCTGTAATCCCAGCACTTTGGGAGGCTGAAGTAGGTGGATCACGAGGTCAGGAGATAGAGACCATCCTGGCTAACACGGTGAAACCCCGTCTCTAATAAAAATGCAAAAATTAGCTGGGCGTGGTGGCTGGCGCCTGTAATCCCAGCTACTCAGGAAGCTGAGGCAGGAGAATTGCCTGAACCTGGGAGGCGGAGGTTGCAGTGAGCCGAGATTGCGCCACTGCACTCCAGCCTGGGCAACAGAGAGAGACTCCGTCTCAAAAAAAAAAAAAAGAAAAGAAAAGAAAAAGAAATGCCCCCAGCTGTATGCCTCCTCCTCGCCCGCAGTACTGTACTCCAAGGTCACCTTGGCTGCCCCGTTGAACACTGCAGCCCCTCGAGCCGCTATGCGCACCCTCAACAACGCAGGCGCCAGCGCTTGGCGTGTCCCAGCTCCTGTGCACCCATGCTGGCCCTGTGTGCCCATGTGGTGACTGAACCAGGCGGCCAGCTGACCCATGGGGTGCCCCTTCCCTGAGAGCTGCTTCCTTCCTCATCCACAGGGTACTTGGAGACTGGCCCCGGGCTGGGCCCCTGTCTGGAGCGCCGAGGCCTGCCTGTCGGCCTGGGATGACTGCAGAGGCTGCTGTCAAGGAAGCTGTGCTCCATGGTCAGGACAAGCAAGCCGACCTAGGGGCCCAAGAGACCAAGATGAGCTCTCCAGGCCCCACAGCCCGGCCCTGAGCCTCCTCTGCTGAAGCCAGCCCGTGCGCTGACAGCGGTATGGGGCCTGCATGATTGGCGCAGGAATAAGCAAAGAGACCCTGGACCCAAGGGCGGGTCCAGAAAGCGGCCCCTTCCCCACGCCGATTTATAACAAAGGCCCCTGCAGAGCAGGGGGAAGAGGTGGCCTTTCCCTGCCACGTGTCCAGTATCAGTTGGA
Source organism: Homo sapiens (assembly GCF_000001405.40). Taxonomy (NCBI): domain Eukaryota; kingdom Metazoa; phylum Chordata; class Mammalia; order Primates; family Hominidae; genus Homo; species Homo sapiens. The sequence goes on from NW_025791805.1 coordinate 28,753, forward strand.
CACTGACAGAAAAAAGTGACCCCATCCCCACAATTAATTTAAAATGAGTCACAGAGCAGGCTGGGCACGGTGGCTCACACCTGTAATCCCAGCACTTTGGGAGGCTGAGGCGGGCGGATCACTTCAGGCCAGGAGTTCAAGACCAGCCTGGCCAACATGGTGACACCCTGTCTCTACTAAAAATACATAACTTAGCCGGGCGTGGTGGCACACTCCTGTAATCCCAGCTACTCGGGAGGCTGAAGCACAAGAATTGTTTGAACCCAGGAGGCAGAGGGTGCAGTGAGCTGAAATTGCACCACCGCACTCCAGCCTGGGTGACAGAGGGAGACTCTGTCTCAAAAAATAATACTAATAAATGAAATAAGTCATAGAACAAAGTGTGAAAAATAAGCCCCAAAGCTTCTAGAATAAAACATAGCAAAATCTCTTCAAGACACTGTGGTCAGGCCAGGCACAGTGGCTCACACCTGTCATCCCAGCACTTTGGGAGGCCGAGGTGGGCGGATCACCTGAGGTCAGGAGTTTGAGACCAGCCTGGCCAACATGGTGAAACCCTGTCTCTACTAAAAATATAAAAATTAGCTGGGTATGGTGGCGCATGCCTGTAATCCCAGCTACTCGGGAGGCTGAGGCAGGAGAATCACCTGAACCTGGGAGGCGGAGGTTGCAGTGAGCTGAAATGGCGCCACTGCACTCCAGCCTGGGCGACAAAGCGAGACTCCGTCTCAAAAGAAAAAGAAGAAGACACTGTGGTCAGCAAAGATTTCTAACATAGAACACAAAGGGACTCGACATAAAAGACTGGGCTTCCTTAAAATCAACAACTTTGAGACACCATCAAGAGAGTCAAAAGGTAAGTTGCAGACAAATGTACCGTTCGCCTCGGTGTGTCTTAATAGATTCTACACCAAGGCCTTCTGCCCAGAATATATCAAGAACTCCTACAAATTGATAAGAAAAAGATAAACAAACCAATTTTTAAAATGGGCAATACACTTGAACAAGTACTTCACAGACCTGAAGTGCATTGAAAGGGCTAAATGCAGTGAAAAACTGGTCAGCCTCATTAGTCACCAGCGAAATAAGCATTTAAACCATAATGAGATGCCACTTCATGCCTTCACAAAGGCTAAAACTACAGAATGACTTTTCTTTATTTATTTTTTCTTTTTTTGGAGACAGAGTCTCATTCTGTTGCCCAGGCTGGAGTGCAGTGGCGCGATCTCGGCTCGCTGCAAACTCTGCCTCCTGGGTTCAAACGATTCTCCTGCCTCAGCCCCCAAGTAGCTGGAATTACAGGCACGCACCACCACGCCTGGCTAATTTTTGCATTTTTAATAGAGACGGGGTTTAACCATGTTGGCCAGGCTGGTCTTGAACTCTTGATCTCAGGTAATCCACCCACTATGGCCTCCCAAAGTGCTGGGGTTACAGGTTTGAGCCTCTGTGCCCGGCCCGGCCAAAGACTGCCTATTCTAAACGTTGCTGAGGACGTGGAACAATCACAGCTCTCCTCTCTTTCCAGTGGGAGTTTAACATGGCACAACCGCCTGAAAACCGTTTGGTGATTTCTGTGAATTCCTATGCCTTCTCTATGACCCAGCAATTCCACTCCTGGATGGAGTTAACCTGTGATGGTTAATTTTCTGTGTCAACTTGTCTGGGGCACGGGGTGCCCAGATATTTGGTCAGCATAATTTGGGCTATTTCTTTGAGGGTGTTTCTGCATGAGATGACCCGGTGCTCTGAGTGACGCTGACTGCCCTCCCCAGTGTGGTCTGGCCCCATGCACTCAGCTGAGGAAATACTAGGATAGAATAAGAAGTCCCAGGAGTCAGAGGGCCAGCTCTCCCAGGGTCTCAAGCCTGCCAGCTTTCAGCCTGGAGTGGTGGTATCACCCTCAGGGGTCTCCAGGGTGCCAACCGTGGCTCTCGGGACTTGTCAGCCTCCATCATCACAGGAGCAGATTCCTTCTCATCGATCTTTTTCTCCAGATACAGAGATGGGTGTGTCCCCTGCTGGCTCTGGTTCTTTGGAGACCCCGGCTAACACACACCTGAGACGGAGAAGGGCTTCTGTGACCAAGGGACACAAACAGGAACCTGCCGAGCAGAGTTCCTCATCACAGCCCTTGTGTGTTTCTTTAGGGATGCCGTAACAAAGTTCCCCAGTCAGGTGGCCTAAAGCAACACCATTGCATTCTCTCACAGTCTGTAAAGCCAAGGCCTGGAATCAAGGCGTGGGCAGGATTGGCTCCTTCTGAAGGCTCTGAGGGAAAATCCTTCCGGCACCTCTCCCCAGCTTCTGGGGACAGCAGCAATGCCCCCCGGGTATCTGTGTCTAGTCTCCCTCCACCTCGCTCTTCTAAGGACACCTGTCGTTGGATTTAGGACCCACCCAACTCCAAGATAATCTTTGTAAATGTCATTAATTAATTTGTAAATGTCACCTGAGACCAAGAGTTCACGACCAGCCTGGCCAACATGGTAAAACCCCGTCTCTACTAAAAATGCAAAAATTAGCCTGGCATGGTGGTGCATGCCTGTAGTTCCAGCTACTTGGGAGCCTGAGGCAGGAGAATCGTTTGAACCCAGGAGGCAGAGTTTGCAGTGTGCTGAGATCGCGCCACTGCACTCCAGCCTGGGCAACAGAGTGAGACTCTGTCTCCAAAAAAAGAATAAATAAATAAATAACAGTCTGTAATTAAATGTCATTAATTAATGACATTTACAAAGATTATTTTTCCGAAGAAGTTCCCTTTCATAGGATCTGGGTGGACACATATTTTGGGTGCCACCATTCAACAAGCCCCAAACCAGAAATAACCCAAATGTCCATCAGTGGGAGGCTGGGTCAGCGTGCGTGGTTTATTCCTACAACGGAATATAATTCAGCAACAAAGAGGAGCCACTGATGCACGTGGCAACTCGGATGAATCTCCCAGGCATGACGCCGAACTCAAGCAGCAAGATAGGACCAAGGCCTGAGGAAGGCGAAGCTGCCAGGTGGGCCTCAGCAGCGGACCCTGGTCAGGGCTTGGAGTGCCGGTTGAAGACCCAAGGGCTGCACGAGAATCTCATGGGTGAGAACGCGTTGAGCTGCAGCCCAAAGATGGGAGCATTTATTTATTTATTTATTTATTTTTGAGATGGAGTCTTGCTCTGTCACCCAGGCTGGAGTGCAGTGGCACAATCTCGGCTCACTGCAACCTCCGCCTCCTGGGTTCAAGCAATTCTCCTGCCTCAGCCTCCTGACTAGCTGGGATTACGGGCATGTGCCACCACGGCCAGCTAATTTTTTTCACCATATTGGCCAGGCTGGTCTTGAACTCCTGACCTTGTGATCTGCCCGCCTTGGCCTCCCAAAGTACTGGATTACCGGCATGAGCCACTGCGCCAGTAAGTGGCTGATGGGAGCATTTTACCGCCTGGATGTTGTACCTTGACTGAAAAGGGAACCCCAACCAAGCCCTGAAGCTGGGGCGGGTGCAATTTGAGTTTGGGGAGGGTGGGAGCAGGTGCTGGTGGGGCTGGGGGAGTTGGGGGGGCTGGGGGAGTCGGGGGATCTGGGAGAGTCGGTGGGGCTGGGGGATTCCGGGGGCGCTGGGGGAGTCAGGCACTCACTCCACATCTCTAAGCATCAGTTTCTCCATCTGTCAAATGGGCGAGTGAGCCCCGCCTCAGATACCGCAGAGAGTGCCAAGCCAGGCAACTTCTGGGGGGCTTAACGAGCGTTCGTCTTAGTCCATCTGCCCCGTGGGCAGAGCCCACTCCACAGGGAGGGAGCCAGGCTGGCCTCGTGGCAGGAGGCTGGAAGCAGCACTTGCAGGTGTGTGCATGAGCAGGCCAGTGTGTGCTGACGCACGTGTGTGTTCACATGAGCACATGCATAAATATCTCAGGTGAAATTAACATCGGGAAGAGTCCACCAGAAATGAAATAATGCACATGGACTGGCTCAGTATTTTTTTTTTTTTCAGATGGAGTTTTGTTCTTGTTGCCCAGGCTGGAGTGCAATGGTGTGGTCTCGGCTCACCGCAGCCTCTGCCTCCCTGGTTCAAGTGATTCTCCTGCCTCGGCCACCCAAGTAGCTGGGATTACAGGTGCCCGCAATAACATCCAGCTAATTTTTTGTATTTTTAGTAGAGATGGGGTTTCTCCATGTTGGTCAGGCTGGTCTCAAACTCCTGACCTCAGGTGATCCGCCCACCTCGGCCTCCCAAAGTACTGGGATTACAGGCATGATCCACCACGCCGGGCCCTGGTCTTTTTTTTTTTTTTTTTAAGAGAGAGTTTGCTCTGTCACCCAGGCTGGAGTGTAGGTGGCACGATCTCGGCTCACTGCAGCCTCCACTTCCCAGGTTCAAGCAATTCTCCCACCTCAGCCTCCCGAGTAGCTGGGATTACAGGCGCCCACCACCATGCCTGACTAATTTTTGTATTTCAGGGTTTCACCATGTTGGCCAGGCTGATCTCGAACTCCTGACCTCAGGTGATCCACCTGCCTCGGCCTCCCAAAGTACTAGGATTACAAGTGTGAGCCACCGTGCCCTGCCAAGACTGTTTTGATGTCAGAAAAAATACTGAATGCCACAATCTGGGCTCATGGTGTGTGGGCGGCTACACATCAGGGTTCAGCATGTATGTTGAGGGGTCTGCCTTGGCCCCTCTATTCCTGGGCCCAAGCAGATGGGGTAGCAGGTGGGGAGGGGTCTCAGTTGTCTGGGTGGGCTTTCTGGCCCACCCCACTCTCCCCCTCACCCAGGATGGGGCGTCCTGCTGGGTCAGGGAGTCTCAGGGCTCCCAGGCAGTCTGAACGCTGGAACTTGGGCATCACTGCACTGGGTCCCCTCCCCAGGGTGCAGCAGGCCCTACATCATAGGGCACACCCACCCTACCTCCCCTTCAATCCCACTCAGTCAGGCCAGGCCCTGCCCAGGCCCCTTGGGGCTGCAGTTTCTCAGGGAACAGCACTGCCCAGAGCGCCTCCCCTACGGCAGCCACTGCCCACCCCGCCCTAGGCATCCCTCTCTGCGGCCCCGCAGGGGCATGAGAGTGGCAGCATGGCGGCAGGCTCCCTGTGCAGTGTGCTTCCTGCCAGGGAACTCGTCAGCCTCCTGCTGGTGTCACACATCCCTGACCCTCCCTCAGGGTCCTCCCAGGTTTCCCAGGCCCGGGGCAGGGGGCAGAGCAGCAGGAGACAGGAGTGGTGATCCACCAGGCAAGGGGCTGGGCTGGTGAAGGCATCCTCTGGGATCCCTGGCCAGGCTGGGGCCAGGAATGGGAGAGGCTCGGGGGGATGCTGGGGCAGAGCCCAGGAGCTGGAGGGGAAGCAGGCGGGGAGAGAGCAGAGCCCCGCTGAAGGGAGCCACAGTGAGCCCTGGGCACAGGTGGGACAGGCCTCGAGTCCTCCTTGGCCAGGAGACTCCCAGGAAGGATGGCACGAAGGCAGGGGTGGGCCGCCAGGAGCCTGCGGAGCCCGTCCACATCTGCCAGGCACCGCCTGTACGACAGGCCAGCTCCCAGCGTGGTTGAGGTCCCAGGTCCCTCCGGCGCCCAGCAATGCCCGGGTCCCAGACAGGACAAGTTCCTGCCTCCCTCTTACCAGCAGGACCTGCCGGGCATCTGAGCTGCCTGGGGTGTCACAGGTGAGCCAGCAGTGGCGGGTGGGAAGTGACGTGTCATGGGTGAACAGCAGTGGAGGGTGGAGCTGTTGAGCCAGTCCTGGGCGGCGTATGGCTGGATAGGAGGTGTCCCAGGCCACACTTCGAAAAGGACAAATGGACTAGGTCGCTGCCCTGGACCCATAACATGCACCTGGCTGTGCCCCCCGCTCCCCCCACACCCCGCTCCCTACCCCTCCACCCCCTGCTCCCCCCCACTCCCCACACCCACACCCCTCCGCTCCCCCCCCGCCTCCCCTCACATCCTCCCCACTAGCCCCCATCCCCCTGGCTCCCCCCCCCGCTCCCCCCACCCCCACCGCTGCCTCCCATCCTCCCGCTCCACTCCCCCGCTCCCCCCACTCTCCCATCCCCCCCGCTCTCCCCCCACTCCCACTACTCCCCACCCCCACTCCCCACCCGCCCTGCCCCAGGCAAGCCTCAGGGGTGGTGGCTGTTGACTGCAGGAGCAGAGCCAGAACAGCTGGCGGAGACCAAACCTGGTCATCCTTCACAGGCTGTGTGGCCATGGGCAAGTCACTCTACCTCTCTGGGTCCCGGTCTCCACATTTTCAGAGTGAGGGCAGTTTCTCTGTGCCCTGAAAGTGGCTGGGAGTCTAGGCCAGGTGACAGCTCAGGGCAAGTTCTCAAGGGCCCCAGAAGCATCTGGGGTGCAGGGGAGGTTCCAGGATCCCCAGTTCCCACCTTTAAATGAGGTGACTCGAGACCCTCTGAGATGAAGGGACCCTGAACGTTGATCATTTTGACCTCCCATCTCTAGGAGCATGTCCAGAGTCTGCCATTCCTTCCAGAAAGGAAAAAGGAGAACTCACATCAAGATCTCCCTTGTTTAGCCAGGGAGGTGGGAGTGGGGCCGGGGGGCAGCCAGGAAACATGAGCACGTTCGTCATGGAGGGCAGGGGCTGCACGGGCGGCCAGGCAGTGTGAGCCCATGGTCAGCACCAGCGGCGAGCTGTCATCTCCCTGTGCCTCAGTTCCCTTCCCTGTAAAACAGAACTCTGCACCGCCCCCGACCCCATGCCAAGGTGCTGGGCAAAGCTGCAAAGGTGCTGGTGCCCGGCCACCCTCAGTCAAGGCGGCAAGAACCCCTCGGTGAGTGGACGTGGCCCCACAGGGATGTAGAGGATGAGGCAGAACCCAGGGCTCCCCGAGTTCCAAGTCCACGCTCCCCTGCACACGGGCCCACCGCCGCCCTTTCCAGAGAGAAAAAGAAATTTCTGTCTAAAGTCAGTCAGAACACCCCCAGACTCCACACTGGTGACGTCCGAATCCCCCCGGACACCGGTGTGGCCTCAGTCCTTCCTCCCAGCTGGTTCGCTCAGCTCTTGCTCCCTGCCAGCCCCCAGGTCCTGGTCCTTCTGCCACAGGCTAGCAGGCACCCCACAGCCCGATGGCGGCTCAGATGGAGACTGCGGTACTGGATATCCTGGGGGTAACATCACAGCCACACCCTCCGCCAGGCTGGGGACAGCTGCCCATGGGCCGGGCCAGGCCAGTGCTGGGATTATGTCTGGGGCCACCCAACAAAAGACCACAAATGGGGCAGCTGCAAACAACAGAAGTCTATTTTCTCCGAGTCCTGGTGGCCGGAACCAAAATCAAGCTATCGGCAGGACTGTCCTCTCTCTGCAGGCTGCAGGGGAGGTTCTTCCCGCCTCTTCTGGCATTTGGTGGCCCCAGGTGTCCCGTGGACGTGGCCGTGTCATTCCCATCTCTGCCTCATCTTCACGTGGCCTCTGTCGCCTCCCTCTCAAATCTCCCCCGACCTCTGTCTTCTAAGGGCCTTTGTCTCTGGACAAAGACCCTTTTCCCAAATAAGCCTGTCGTGTTCACAGGCTCCAGGTGGACCGATCATTTGGGGGCCACCACTGTGCCCACTGCAGTGGAGTCGGGGACGGGGCCACTCATGGCCATGAGGCCACAAACGGGTGTGGGGTCTGAGAGCAGCAGGCAGGTCACCCAACACCAGACAGGAGCAAGCCCAAGCAGGGGTGGCCGAGAGAGCCGGGAGGGTGATCGGGTGAAACGCCTGCCCTCAGAGGAAGAGACGGGACATGGCCCACGGCGGGGTCTCACCTGCGGCCTCTGGTTCTCCCCGTGCTTTGGCGCCGCTCCCGCTCCATCCTGTCCCTTCACTCCCCTGTTGGAGAGGGTTTTCCCACAATGGCCTGGACATGGAGGGCTCGGGAGGTGGGTGACCTTCCCAGTGTGCCCAGCTGGAACTGGTCGACTTGGGCCCAGGTCCATGTGAGTCCCGGGCCCCGCTGCCTCCTGAGACCAAGGAGCATTTCCCTCTCTGGCGATGGGCACGGGAGCTCCTGGCAGGACGGCGACCGTCCGGTGGGCCCGGAGAGGAGGCAGCTGCTGCACCCTCGGCGCTGGCTCTCAGGGATGGCTGGGCTGTTAGGCCCGAACTAGACCTGCTGCCGCCGTGTGGAGAAGAGGTGGCCCCAGGAGCCCACTGTCTCGGGTGTGGGCCATCTCCATGCCTGTTCCTGTCCCCATCACACACCAGGCAGTCCCCACCAGCGCCCACATCCTCACCAGGGCTCTCCACGTCCCCTCCTCTGGTCCCCACCCATGTGTCAGCTCCTCACAGTTCCAAGGGGCCACCCAGCATCCCCGGGGCCCAAGCCCTTAGAGGATGTGGTCTGGGAGGGTGGGACAGACACTTCTTCCCCAAGTCTGCCTCTGATGTGTCACCCAAACCTTTAAACTTTGCACCTCAGTTTTATTTATTTATTTATTTTTATTTTTTTTGAGACAGACTCGCTCTGTCGCCCAGGCTGCAGGCTGTGGGGTGTGGCGTGATCTCAGCTCACTGCAACCTCCGCCTCCCAGGTTCAAGCGATTCTCCTGCCTCAGCCTCCTGAGTAGCTGGGATTACAGGTGTGCGGCACCACATCCAGCTAATTTTTGTATTTTTAGTAGAGATGGGGTTTCACCACGTTGGCCAGGCTGGCCTCGAACTCCTGACCTCAGGTCATACACCCGCCTTAGCCTCCCAAAGTGCTGGGATTACAGGCATGAGCCAATGCACCTGGTGGGACCTCAGGTCTATAATGATCTAAATCACCCAACAGGAGGAGGCAGCAAGACCTGGCAGCGAGGGCCAAGCAGGAAGGCCATCTGCCTGCCCCCTGCCTGTCCCCTCCCCACCCCCAGCTCTCCCAGGCACTACAGCCTGGGGCAGCCCCTCCCCCAGGGCCCCACCCTCAGCCTCCTGTGCAGGTGAGCAGGAGCGGGCAGCCTCACTGGAGCCCAGATGACGGAGCCGGAGCCCCTGCCCCACCCCACCTGCATTTGAGGGGTGGGATCTGCTTCTGGCCATGAGGGAGGACAGACCCCCACACTCTACAAAGCCTGCCCCTTGGCTGCTTGGCTGTCTGGGCCAATTCTGGTTGTCCTGAACCAGAGGCCACCAACGGGCCCCGTGGAGGCTCAGAACCAAAATCCCACATTCTCAGAGGTTCTTGGGGTCCTCAGGGTTGGGTAGTGCAGCAGCGTGCAGGCTGGGAGGGAAGCCTGGGATCAAATCCTGGCTCCCCTTCTTCCCGTTTGGTGGCCTTGACGGAGAGTGAGGGCTTCCTGGTGACTGAGCCTCGCTTTCCTCGTGTGTCCTGGGCTCGGAGAAGTCCTTTCTGGAGGAAGGAGGGTCCCTTCCTCTTGGTCAGGGCGGGAAGAAATGTGCCCCAAGGAGGGATGGCAGCGCCCACTGCGCCCCTTTCCTCCTCCCCCCACCCCGGGCTCCTCCTCTGATTCCGTTTTGGGGACTCTTTCCTGCCCCTCAGAGTCTGAGGCTTCTAGGCCTGCGCTGTTCATACCTTGACCCCACCCCAGCCCCCATGTTCGCAAGCCTGTGTCCCCTGGAGCCTCTTGTCACAGAGGACCCTCTCCTGTGGAGTCCCAGGGCTCCACTCGCCCCCATGGGGTTTCCAGCTTGCAGCCTGGGGTCCTGGGACGGGTGCAGGGAGGCAAGTGGCCCCCAGCCCACGGAGCCCCATCATGCAGAAAATTCGGCAAAACCCAGCTTCCTCCGAGTGAGGCGGCTGTCCCAGGGCAAGCTCGGGGAGGGCACTGTTGCCCCGCTGTCCCTTGGCCACGGCAGGGTTAGGCTGTAGCATGGGCAAGACTCAGGGACACAGAAATCGGAAGGGGAGTCTAAAAGGGGGTCCAGCCCTGCCCAGCAGCCTCACCACCTGGTGGCATCACCCCCACGCTGGGCGAGCTGCCCCCTCTCCAGGGCAGGGCTCCAAACCGCTCTGGGGGAAGCTGGCCTCAGCTGGGTGTCGGGGGGCCTGGGCCCATTTGCCTGGACGCTGCGGGCACCCTGCCCCTCTGGCTCCCCGGGGTCCTGGGCCTCTCGCGGGCAGGAATGCCATCTGTGCCATCTGACCAGGGCTCCCCTCACTGTGCACCCTGGCGTTTTGGGGCGTGGGAAGGCGTTCAAGGCTGGTTTCTGTTTCCCCGTCAAGCCCTGAGTGGAGTGCGACCGGAGGCTGGCCAGTGGCTCCCCGGGCACCTAGGGGAGGCTGGGGGCAAACTGAGGCAGTCTAGAGCCTACAATCACTCCAGGGGCCTGTGGGGCAGGGACAGGGCTGAGGGGACCTGGCACCCTGTGGGTTCCCCAGCAGTGTGGCTGGGGACATGGGGACAGAGCCCACCTTGCAGCCTCTGATCTCTGGGCCTGGACATTTGTTTGGAGTAGTGTTCACTGGTTTGTTTTGTTTTCTTTTTTTTGAGACAGAGTCTCTCTCTGTTGCCCAGGCTGGAGTGCAGTGGCGCGATCTCAGCTCACTGCAAGCTCCGCCTCCTGGGTTCGAGCGATTCTCGTGCCTCAGCCTCCCAAGTAGCTGGGGCTACAGGTGCCCACCACCACGCCTGGCTAATTTTTGTATTCTTAGTAGAGACGGGGTTTCACCAAGTTGGCCAGGCTGGTCTTGGACTCCTGGCCTCAGGTGATCCACCCGCCTCAGCCTCCCAAAGTGCTGGGATTACAGGTGTGAACCACCACGCCTGGCCTGTTTTGTTTTCTGATTGCAAAATGAATACATTTCAAAAGGGAAATTTGAAAAATATAAAAAATCCTTAAAAAGAGAATAAAACCCACCCATCAACCCATCATGCTATACCCAGGAACACTACCTCCAGCTTCCAGGACCCCCAACCTCAGCCAAGGGTCTCCACATACTTCTCTCTTCTGTAATTGGGTCTTCCCGCGGAGGCTGGGGCCTGGGCGGATGGATGCCCAGGGTGGGGGCTACCTCCTCTGGACTGCCGAGACCTCCCCAGCAATGAGGTGCCAGACCAGGACCGGGGTGAACTCACCATGAGCTTCTGTTGCCGTCTGGGCCTGGGCTGGGAGCAGGAATCTCTGGGGAAGGCCAAGCATGTTTCAGAGTCATCGGGATCAGGGCCACCCTCTCCCTCCCCCAGTGTCTGCAGCCATTTTCATAGGAAAAAAACTGGGTTTAACAAAGCTGTTCCAGACCTCCTGACCTGAAACTGATTTCTACCCTTCCGTGTGGCCCTAAGGCTCCCAGGCACGAGGCGCATAGCTAGGGGAAGACAGTGCCTCTGACACCCATTTAAGAGTTAACTGAGGCCAAAAAGCCGCTCTGCACGCCCCTCTTGTTCAGAGGCCCACTGATCCCCTGGTCCCGTGGTCACCACGGGGTATGGGTGCAGACAAAGCCGTGTTCATGGAAGCTCCGGGCCTGATGACAGTGGCACAAGGACCCCATTCTCTGCTGTCTCCAGCTGCATCCCCTCCCCCAGCCGGCCTGACATCAGAGACAGCGGGTCAGACATCCCGGGATCCCCCACTCCCACCCCAGGGCGCAGGCTCAGCTGCTGGGGCTCAGGGAAATGCACAAGAGGGCCTGTGCTGGGGAGACAGGGCGTGGATGAACTGCCTGAGTGGTGCAGACAGCTGCAGCTTGGCCCAGCAAGTCTTCAGTGGGAAGCTGCCTGCATTTTTACAACTGATTTTTGAACCTGAAAGTGGAGGTTCACATCCAGCCTGTTCAACGTAATCTTGTTGGTTCCAGTCCAACGTGACCTTTTGGAATCTGGTTTCCAGACTCTTGCCATATATTAGCAGTTCCTCCCGGCTGCAGGCTGCGATCTGCCTTGCTGGGGCCTCATCCCAGAGAAACAGGCTGGCCGGGAGCATTCGGAGGGGCTTCCCAGGAAGAGCTGGACCCTGACACATCTTTCCGTGGGTGCTGTGGCCAAGACGCCCAATGGCTGGTCATGAGGCCCATTTTGTTCTGCTCCTGGTCTACAAGGCAGAAGTCGGGACGCATCATGTCTGCCCCAGCCAGGAGTCTTAGGGTTGTCCCAGGCCCAAAAGTCAGCCAACCCTAGTACTAGTTTTCCAGAAGAATCCAGAGCCTACGCACCCAGGCCCTCAGTGTGAACAAGGGCACGTTATTTGCTCTCACAGTCTCCTTCTGCTCATCTGTAAAATGGGCATGGCCACCATGCCCTCTGTGTCCCAGGCTGTCTAGAGGGTTGAGCAGGCAGGGTAGGATCTGGTACCCACCATGCCCCCGATGCCCACGCAGGCCAGAGAGGGGAGAAATGGAGTTGGCTGAGGCCTGGCCCTCCAATGCCCTCTCTGGGCTCTGAACCAGGGCTCCGTCCGTCCCCTGGGGCTGCCTCCCGCAGGCCAGGGCTCCTTTATCCTCCCCGTTGAGCACCTGGGGCGCGGGGATGACAGCCTCATTTCCCCAAGCAGCCCCCACAGGGCTCCCTGGATTCCTCTCTGACAAGCACATGCGCCGGCTCTGGTCTTGGCTCCGTGTGCCCCAGCACGACAGAACAAGTGCGGCAAGACCCAGGCCTGCAGGGCGGCGGCAAGTGCCCGGAGGGGCGGAGGCGGGGGTAGGGGGTATGCCGGCGCCCGGCAGTGTCGCTGTCCCCGCGCCACCGACCCCACCCCGGCGTGACCTTCCCTGCCGCGCGCCCAAAGGCCAGCAAAGCAGGCGGCGCTTTTAAGGACGCGGCGGCGCGGCGGGTTCGGTGCCAGGAGGCGCCGGGGGGCGGAGGGAGGGGGCGCTCGAGGCCAGAGGAGCGACCCCCGGCAGCCACCCAGGCGCGCCCCGCTCGTCACTCGCTCTCTTCTCCCACTTGCGCCGGCCGGGGGCGGGGCGCGGCGGCGAGGGTGGGGGCTGGGCAGCCGGGGTCCTCCCTCCCCCGCTGTGCTGGAGGCAGCGGGGCGCTCCCCGGAGCTGGGGCGCGGAGGGAGGGCCGAGGGCGCGTCGGAGCCTCATCCGGCCTGGGCCCTCCGAGCGGGAGCGACCCGGGTGCGGGGCCCCACTCTGCCTGGTCGCCCCGAGCGCGTGGAACGCGAGCCGAGGTTCCGCCCGAAATGCGGCCGGCGAAGGGGTGCGGTCCGGGCGGGGTCGCGCGCCCCCAGCACGCTGCCTGGGCTCTGGAATCTGGGAGAAGCCTCCAGCACGGGCTCCCGAGCGCACAAACTCAGGGACGCCCTTCCTCCCGTCCCTGGTCCCCTCCCCGAAAAGCGAGGGGGACGGGCCTGGAGGGAAACGGATTCGGTTTCGCTCCGCTCTCGTCAATTTTCTGTTTAATGTCACCGGGCCCCACTGTGGGAGTAGGAAGCGCGTCACCCGGGCCATAAATTTGCGGTGATGGCGCCTCCGGCCGCCTCCCCAGACGGAGGGACAGGGCCGACTCCGGAGCAGGTGGGGCCGCCGAGACTCGACCTCCGCGGTAGGCGCTGCGCGGCTTCTCCCGACGCGGGTCCCGGGCGCGCTCGGCCGCCCCTCCCGCCGCATCCGCCCGCGCCCGGCCCCGCCGCGGGATTTCCAAAGGGCTTTTGTTCCGGGCTTGGATGTAGAGGCTTTGATTTTTTTACCACCCGCCTCAGGAGACTTTTTGCTTGGAAAAGTCCTGCTATTAAAACAAAAACAAAAACCAATCAATTCCGGAGGGAAGAAAATGCCTCCAGTGTGTGTCTGCGCTTCCCCCGGGCCGAGGACGGTGGTCGGGGCTGCGTATTGCCCGGACCCCGGGTAGGGGAGGCGCAGAGACCCGGCCCTAATGGACTTCGCTCGGAAAGGCCCCGGCGGAAGTGGCCGGGAGAGCGGGCGGCTGCGTGGGTCTGGGCCCTGGCCCGGGGCAGGCTCCTCTGGCCTGCCTGCCTTGGCTGCTTGGAAAGGGATTTCTGGGGAGTCTCCCTTTGGGGGCACTTTCCCCGAAACTCCTCTCCCGCCTGGGGAATTACCCCTGCAGCGGGTACTGATGCTTCATGAATTGAGATGGAATACGTATTTGTTCAGGCCAGAAAAAAAAAATGAATCTATTGAATGATTTTTAATTTAATGGATCAACTGTCCTGTTAACAAAAGAGGCGGTGGCCGTGTTTGGCGCCAGGCGGGAGGCAGCAGTCAGGTGGTCCAGGGGCTGGAGGTGAGGGCTTTGCCGCAGGCGCATGCTGCTCTGTGAGAACTCCGAGGAATAACTCACTGGAGGGCTATAAATGCTGAAGGTAACCAGGCCAAGGACTCCAGTGCCCCCAGAAGTCGCAGGGGAGAGACAGTCTGTCCCCTCTGGTCCAGCCCAGGGAGGGCCTGCAGCCTCCCCATGGGAGCCATGGCCAAGGGGGAGAAAGGTCTCCAGGGCTGGAGGGCAGGTGGGCGGTGGGGCTCATCTCAGGGGCAGGGCGTGGGGGTTTGTGGGCCAGGACCCACCCAAGGGCTGGGTCTGGGAGGTGCTTGGGGAGCCCAGGGCGACCTGGTGTGTGCCCTGCGGGATGCCCCGAGGGCTCCTGCTTGTGTTGCCAGCACCTGCCCTTGGGAGCCGTCAGCTGGGGCCACGATGCTGGCAGGGTGAGGCCTGGCAGGGTCTGGGGCTTTTGGAGGGTGGGGGCTAAGGGAACCCCTGGTGGAAGCTGCCTTCAGGGTTCCTGCCTGCCTTGAGGATGGGTGATAAGGGGCTGGGCCCTGCCCTCCTGCTGCCTGGGCTCTGTAACTGATGCTCAGAGGACCGGGTGGAGTTGGGTGGGAGACCTAAATGCTCCACGGTCCTGTAGGTCTCAGCTGGCCTGGCCCCGCCACCCAGCCCACACCCTTCCCCTAGGGCCCTCTCACCAGTGTGAGAATAGGCCTGGGGAAGTCTGGGCCCGGGAGGCCCCCGACCCCCACTGTCCAGACACCCTGACAGCGACACGTGTAAACACCGCCAAACAGTGGAGACAGGCAGCCCTGCCGCCCCTCCGCCTCTGCAGCCAGGCCTGGTCTGGCAGGGAGTGGAGGCAGGTGTCCTTGCAGGGAGGGCCCGAAGCCAGGCTCTGCCTTGGAGGATGCTCCGGAAGGACCACATAAGCAGTGCCCTCGTTTGGATTGGTCCTGCCTGAGCATTGTCCCCAAGCAGGGCAGTTTCAGCCACTAGGCCCTCCCAACCCCCATCTGTCTGATCTGGGCTTTCTCTCCCGGGTCTGGCTTCCTGTCCTCATCCTCATGGGCAGGAAGACGGAGGGCTGTTTCGGGTCAACCTCCTGTAAGGAAAACCGATTACTCTTTATTCCAGCAGATCCCCAAAGCGCATCCCTTGGCCCAGAGATTCCCAGAGAACCCTGCCCCTCCAGGTCCACCCCCAGACTGGCTGCCTGGGGGGAAGGAGCCGGCCTTTAGGGAAGGCAGCCTGGCATGGTGGAGGTTCCCTGGGCTCCTGGGCCTTTCTCCAGCCCTCCAGCCGCAGAGGTGACAGTGACCAGGGGGCTGGAGGGGCAGCAGGACAATGGTGAGTGGAGGGGGGCTGGGAGGCTCCCTCCTCAGCCTGGGGGTCCCTGGCAACTCCCACCTTCCTTGATCCCCTCTAATAATTGCAACAATAACACTGTCACTAATAAAAAGGCAGGGGAAACCAGGCAAAGGGGCGCTTCTGCCCTTTATGAAAATCACTTTAATTTAACCCAGATGGGTCTTGTTGATAACCTCATACAATGAGCACCCTGAATTATACTTTCCGTGAGAACACACTAGTTATATTTAGCCACAAATTACGACTCTGTGTTTAACAAGCAACTTTGAGAGTGGGGAGGGGGCCGGGCAGCCTCCTGACCTGGTTGGACAAAACCGGCAACTGCAGCAATGGAGACCCCCTCGCTGGAGGGGACGCCGAGAAAGCCGTGCCACGGGCTTCTGAGTCTCTCTTCTCTGCTGCTCTAGTTTCTTTAAAACACTTACAACCTCGTCCGAGGTCTGTCGAGGAGACTGTGGCCTTCAGGTACAACCTGAGCCTCCCCCAGGATCCCTGGGACTTCTGCCTTCCCACACCCCCAACCTGGCTCCCTGCTTGGGCTGGAGCCGGGGACCTTCTGGGAGAGCCCAGTTCGACAGGCTGGGGGGCTGGGGGCCGTGTGTGCCTGGAGGACAATCCTCCTACCCAGGTCTGGCCCCTGACAAGTCTTGCTCCTCTGTGGCCTGCCTCAGCCCCCTTACCCTGGGCCTCAGCCCAGGCCTGGTCGGGAGGGGGCAGGCGCTGGGGACGAGGGTGAGGGCACTCCCTCCATGCAGCCCCCTCCCCTGCCACCTCATCCCCTGGGTCCTGATAAATAATGAAGGGGCTGTGACTGGAAGCTTCGTTTTCAGTGGGGGCAGCCCCCTTCCCTTCGGAACCTTCGCCGTCCTCTTCCCCTCCACAACAGTTCTGCTCCTAGGAAGGGTAAGCCTCCAAAGGCAGAAGCTGTGGCAGAGAAAAGGCTGTCCCCCCACTCCAAGGCACGGACCCTGGGGCTTCCCGATCCTCCCCAGAGCCAGAGGCCACACCGCTGAGCAGGGGAGGTGAGGGGGGAACACACAGACCTTTCCCCCACACCCTGTTCCCTCCAGGCACCAGGCAAGGCCCTCATGAAAAGAACTCGCCCCAGTCGATAGCAGAGGGACCCGTACAGGCAGATGGGTGGGGTGGGGGGTCAGGACCTCTTCCAGGAGGGAGTGGGATTGTTCCTAACCCCCTGCCCCCAGCTGTCCTCTGGAACACTGATTCTGGGGTGGGGGTGAGCTGCTGCTGCCCTCCAGTTGAGGGAGGTCTCTGTGCTGTGAACCATCTTAGATCCCCCACCTCTACCCCACCTCTACCCCGCCTACCCCTCCTGCCGCCAGCCCCAGCCTCAGGCCTGGCCTCTGGACTTGTCCCCCTGCGCCTCTGGTGGGAAGAATTAAGAGTCAATTTTTGTCGTCAAGAAATTGTTTCTAATTTGCCCTTTGACTAATGGCCCAGGGAACAATGGAGAGATACCCAACACACGATTATTGGGGGCGCAGCGGGCGCAGCGCGGCTGCTCTCGGGCCGAAGCAGGCATTTATTTGGAGCAGCGGCTAATTCACAATTTCATGGAACTTGCCTGACACCCCCACCCCCTTGTATTAAAAAATGATTATTTATATGATGATTTCAGACAGAGCAGCATCTCAGAGGTTTGGGAGCCGGGAGACCTACATCTGCTGCTCTTGGGGAGCGTGGGGGTGGGAGAGGAGTGCTGGAGGGGGCTCCAGGGCTGGGCCCGGTTGTGGGGGAACAGGGGCCCCTAGGCTGAAAGGGAGAAGGCAGTTCTCGGGAGTGCTTCTGCGTGTGTGATATGCCTCTGCACACATGTCTTGTGCATGTGGGAGTGTCACATGCTGCACGAGGCTCACCTGTCTGCCCATCTGTGCTGTGGGTTTGGTTTTGTGTACACTTCCAAGTGATTCACATGTGGGCACATGAGTGTGTGCAGGCAGATGTGTGGGCACACATTCAAGACTGTGCACAAGTGTGTGTGTGAATATAGTGTGCGTTAAAGGGTGATGTGAGCCGGCCTGCTAGGTGTAGGAGCGCAGCTGGTTATGTGGGGCGGGGGGTTATCTGCTCCCCAGGCCAGAGGGCAAATCTGGAGTGGTGTATGCCAGGCCCATGGAAGTGACTCCAGATCCTGCTGGAGAGGGATCAAGGTGGGGTTCAAGGCCACTCCTGGCACTGTTCCAGGCCCCACTGGGTGTCCACAGGCCTAGCCTCACTTGCAGCCCGCTCACCTGCAAAGCTGCAGGAACTTCAGAGACCTGGGCCCTCCAGCATCAACACTGACCTCGGGTCTATTATCCCCTCTCCTTTCCTCCCCCTCTGTCCCCTCGCTGGCCCTCTCCCCAGTGGAAGGCAAGTCTGCAGATCCCCACACCATGTTCCTCTGAAATTAAAAACATTTGTTAGCTCTGGACAGCAGGAAGAGTAAAAAAGGAAAGTAGGGAGGTTTCCTCTGAGCAGATCGCCAGCCTGAGCTCCCGGCGGCCCAAGTCTTCCAGGGGAACTCGGGAGCTTATTTTGGTATTGCGGGAGCTGCCCAGCGGCCAGGCGCCTGTGCTGGGCAGCTGCCAGCCCCTCTCCACCGCGTCCAGCAGACCCGTCTGCAGTTATTTGCTGTAACAACTGTTTTGAAACAGTATTGAAAAAAAAAAAGCCCACTAGAATTTGCTTCAAGTGAACACTGGGGGAGGAGGAGGCAGAAGTGGGGAGGAAGGAGGAGGGCAGGGAGCTTCCGCACTGCCCTGGAAGGCGCACTCGACGCCTCGGGGCCTTTGCCCACGCGAGCAGCCTCTTTCGGGGACACGAAGGGACCAGCACTTGGGGGATTTGAAGCCAGTGCTCATCCTAGGAATCTGGTGAGGCTGAGCCAGAAGGGTCTAAACCAGCTTGAGGAGATAGGGGCCACGCACCCGCGAGCTACCCTCTGCCCTCCCATGTCCCTGGCAGTGGGCATTTCTCAAATGGTGATTGATGACTGGGGATGGGGGTGGGCAAGCCGAGGGCCCATCATTCAGGCTCCAGGACCCTCGAACAATCTGCCCACGGGGGAGGGGAGGCTGGTTTAGGGGCTCTGAGGGGCCTTTCCAGCGGCTGTCCTTCCAACACACTCTAGAGGAGACCAGGACTCCCAGGGGCTTGGGGCCTCCCGTTCCCCCACAGGGCGGTTAGAGGTGGAGCACCTGCCCTGATGCGAGGAGCTCAGAGCAACTTCTGGGACACCACGGGTGGCCACGGTGTTCTTTTTGTTGCATCCAAGATTTTTCTCGTATACGTATTTTCCTATATTAAAAAATTCAAATGAGGCTTTAAAAATTAACTTGAAAAAGGTTCCTGATCCGGAAACAGGCTCATCGGAGGCAGTGATGGGAACTCGGTTCCTTAGGAGAGTAGGAAATGCGCCGTCTGCGAGGGGCGCCCTGCGTGGACCCGGGGCCTCGGGGCGCGTCCACTTACCCGAGCCAGGAGAGACTGGGCCCCACGGTGTTAGCCCCGCGCTCGGGCTCGCGCGCCGCTTCCAGCTCGCGCCTCCTCCATCCCCGGAGGGCTCCGCGGGTCCCCGGCGACGGGTCCCTGCCCAGGGTCCGGGAACCTTCCCCTCCCCTCCTTTCTCAAGCGCCATTTCTCCGGAGCCGGGCCGGCCGTCCTCGGTGTACGCGGGAAGCGGGCAGCCTCCGCCTGCACCCGCGGGGCCGGGACCCGGAGGCACCCGCTTCCCCGACACACTCGCTGGGGCCGCTGCTCGCTGCTCCAGCCTCCCGAGGCCACGGCAAGAGCCCGGGGGTCGGCGCCACACACCCCCAGCCGGCGACCGCGCCCAGGGACCTAATTCAATCGCCCCCAGCCTAATGAATAGCCGCGCGCTAATCGGATCTCCGCGCGCTTCGGGGATTTACGCTTCCCGGCTCTCCCCCTCGTGCCCCGCGGCCCGCCAGACGTCGCTTCCGAAGGCGCCGGCCTGGGGCCTGGCCAGGGGCTCGGCCGCGGGGGGTCCCGGCCGCCGGAGCCGGGAGACGCCGGAGACGGGAGCCGGGCCCGCGCGACCGCCACTCCCGAGCCAGCCGGGGTGGGCCCCGCGCCTTGTCCTGCGTCCCCGGCCCGGCCCGCGGAGCGCCGGTGCTTACCTGCGAGCCCCGGGCTCTCCGGAGCTCCCCTCCGGGCCGAGCCGCCCGAAGCGGGCGCCGGCGTAGGCCCCGACTCAGGCAGGCGGGAAATCCCGGAGTCCCCGCCCGCGGCCCGCAGCCCCCCACCCCAGGTCGGCGTGGCCTGCGGGGGGGAAGGCCGGCCGGGGCCGGCCGCCCGCTTCCCCTTTCTCTCCAGATTCCTTTGATCCGCGGGCTCTCCGCCGCACCTCGGCTCCCGGGCTGCCCCGGTCGGCCCGCGGGGATCCTGGAAACGGTCCCCAGCTTATCTCCTTTCATCAAGCGGCCTTGGGCCGCCTTGAAACCGCGGAGCCAGTAATTGCTTTTTTCAGGAGGCCCAGTGCGGACTGGACAACAGCCAATCAGCGCCTTGTTTACACTCGGTGATGGACAGTCCACTGGCGGAGTGCCAACCAATCCCAGCGGTCCCGCGGGAGCGGGAGTGGGGGCGGGGAAACAGAGAGACAACAGGCTTTGAGTTTAACTCTTTCGTGTCCCTGCCGGAATGAGACGGTGGAGAATTTCGAATGCGTGTGAATCTGTCAGTTGGCTCCTAGTTTAAATATCCTTTTTTCCCCCAGAGGGGGAGGCAGAGATTCACATGGAGAAAGAGGAGCAAAAATAAATGTATCCATCGCCACTAAGACATCACCTCGACTCCCTGAGAATAAATAGCATTTGGGTGGGAAACCAAATTCTAACAGAAATATTTGTTTGCGGAATATTTTAGAAGTGGTTTGCATCTGATTACGATAAAAATTGTTCAGTGGCTTGCTTTAGTTGGAGTGAGGATTTAGCAGATAGGCAGACAGGGAGCAGCATTGAGAAATACTATACATGGTTTACCACACCATACCCGCTTCCCCCATTACCAAACTGAAAATATTTTCTAAATCTAGGTGTAGATGAAGAAAGGGCAATCCTTGTCTTCTCAATAAATCCCTGATTTTCATTTTAGTAGCTGCTCTGTTGCAAAGTGTGGCAGAGGGAGATAAAATTGAGAGCCAGTAATGTAGACGGCTGGAGACTCAGAACTCACTTCCCAGGGTCTGATCCCCAGGTCATGGGGAGGAGAGAGCCGGACGGGCTATTCAAAGCTTTTGCTGCCCAAGCAGCGGGCGTGCGTGCGTGCATCCGCGAGCTCGGGTCCGGGCAGGCAGCAGCTTCAGAGCGGTAGATGGGCCAGGCAACCTGGGGAGGCCTCTGGGCTTGGAGGTCTGGCCTACCTGCCACCTGCCAGACAGATTCCAGGGAGAAAAAGCAGCTACTTTTAAGGGGTGGTGGTGTTTCTTCCCTTGGCCTTCTGTGCGGCAGAAGCCAAACGTTAGACCTGCTGGATTAAACATATATGTGTGTGTGTGTGTCTGTGTCTGTGTCTACGCCTCCCCCTCCGCCGGGACACGCGCACTCGCTCGCTCCAGCTCCCTCTCCCGCCCTGCGCCACCACATTCCCATTCAGCAGCAATGATCTGCGCAGAGGAGCTGCGCAGTCGCCGGGCTTGAATTAGGCGCCATCGGGCTTGGTAGTAGCCCCGCTGCTTCCTGATTGGCAGTTCCCTGGCCCGGCGCCAGCCTATTGGGAGGCCTGTTTACGCCGAATGAGTGGCACGAGCTCCCGGCCGTGGAGGGCTGCGCGGCCAATCAGCGCGCTGGCTGTTCCGGGCTGAGTGGCACGAGCTTATTAGTATGCAGGGCCCGTGGCTCGCCGCGCCAGGCTGCAGGTTTGAGAGCCGCTCTGGATGGGCTCGCTAGAGTCGTTGTTGTGGAAGCGGTGCATTTACAGTGCAACAGTCAGCACATTGAAAATACCAATAGGAATACAAAACAAAGTCACATTTACTGATTTAATTGTATTGCATTCAGTTGTATCCAGGAAACAGCCTCCAGTAAGTAACTGAAATTGCTTTCATTTTTTTTTTGTTTTTGTATTTTTATTATTATTTTATTTTTTATTCTGGCTTTGGGGTTTTACATTTTTTTTAGCAAAAGAAATTCAGGATTGTGATGTTAAGAAGTATATATCTTCCCTTTTAACAAAATCCGTTAAAATGTTGAGGCTTTTTTTTTTCTTAAAAAATATGGACTATGAGCGATTTTTTTTTCTCTGAAAAATCTTATCGATCGGTTTAAAATTACCCCCGTAATGCATCCTTGCTTTGCTCTGAGCGCTTGTTGTCTCGATCGACACCCAGCATTAAAAACAAATACTCGAAGACAGGACAGGGACCGCCAGGCTGCGTCTGGCGCGAGCCGCGCGGGTGGCACCGGGCGGACAGTAGGCGAAGTCCGGGCGCCGCCAGCGTGCGCCCAGTTCTGGGTGACCCACGAACGAACCCCAACATTCGCTCCCCTACCCTGCTC
This sequence comes from Homo sapiens, assembly GCF_000001405.40. Taxonomy (NCBI): domain Eukaryota; kingdom Metazoa; phylum Chordata; class Mammalia; order Primates; family Hominidae; genus Homo; species Homo sapiens. The sequence goes on from NW_025791805.1 coordinate 50,749, forward strand.
CCCTCCCCGGAACAGTCCTGGGTTGGCCCTGCCCGGTCGGTCCGCGGCGAGGGGAACTGGCCGGGTCGTGGTACCCACGGCCGCTGCCCTGAGGGGCCTTCCGGGCCGAAGCTAGGGGCCGGGGAGGGGAATGGTCATGGCGAGTTTTTCGGGTCTTCGTTCCCAATTCAGAATTTTTTTTTTCCGGAGAAGTGGGGGTGGAGGAGGGGGACCGAGCAAGGCCGGCGCAGCGGGGCGTTTTCACCGCGCGCGTTCGGGACGGCGCGCGGGGCTCGGGTCACGGCCCGTGTGGCGGGGTCCGCGGGCTGGTTTTCTTCGGGCGCGGGGGTCAGGCGCGACCCCAGTTCTCATGACTCTCCCAGGGAGCGGGTGCGGCTGTTTCGCAGGGAGCGGGTTCTGCGGCGACGGCCGAGCCACTCGCGCCCCAAGGCGCGCCTGGTCCCAGCCCGGCCTGCAGGCCCCACCGCGCCCGCGCTCCCGGAGACGACGCCGGAGGGAGGCAGACGGGCCAGAGTCCTGGTCTCCGGCAGGCGGGCGAGGAGAGAGCGGGTTTTTAGATGCAAAAGCAGGAAACAAAGCAAACTTGTAGAAGCTCCAGATCCTGGAGCGCGCCAGCCACGCCTGGGGCCGCGGCAAGAGGGACCGGCGGCTCCAGGGTCACGCCCTGCCTTCCCGGGAGGGAGCCCTGTGCTCCTAGGTTCAGTTCCTTCCGAAATGCCCTCGTCAGCGATTCTCCGCCCGCCCGGGGCCCTCTGCCCGCCGCCACTTTTCGCTCCATTTCCTCCCTTACCTCAGCCCGACCTGGCGCTGCGGCGCCGTCCTCGCGGTCCTCCGGCGCGGCCTCTCCTGGAGCTGGGCTGGGAGTGGGCCCCGGGCCTCGGCACTCGGCGGGTGGCGGCGTCGCCGCTGCGGGACTGTGGGACTCCCAGCTCGGGCCGTGTGGCCGCCCTTCCTCGCCCCACTTCCTGGCCGCCTCAGGCTCCCCAGGCCCCCGAAGCCCGGCGCGGGCAGACGCGGAGGCGCGGCGCGGCCTCTCCCCGGGAGGAGAGAACACAAAGAAAAGCTCTCTCCAATCCGGTCAGAGCCGTGGCGGCGCAGGCAGGCGACAGTAATCCACCTCCTGTTTGCTTAAAAAGTCGAGCAGGCTGGTGAGAAAGGAACAATCGGGCCTGCGATCCGCCCGCAGGGGGTGGGAGATTAAAATTGTTGCTTCGTAGCCGAGCCCGCGTCCCGAGAATCGCCGGCAGCTCGCGCTTTCTCAACTTTGAAATTTCTTATTGGAGAGAAAAAAAAAAAAAAAAACAACCACAAAACAAAAGCACAGCACACACGACTCCCTGGAGGCCGCCAGGAAGCCTGGCACCCCCGCGTGCGCAGCCCCCGGCCCCTCTCCGGCCTTCGGCGCCTTTGAAGCTGCAGGTTTCTGACCTCCCTCCCTTTCCTTCTTTCCCTTTGTCCCGCCCGGCGCCCTCCGGGGCTCGGGAGGCGCCGGCCGGGGCTGGGGGCCCCCACGTCCCTAGTCCAGCCCGGGCAGCCCCTCCCCTGACCCCTGCGCTCGCAGCCCCCTCGCCAGAGCACTCTCCGGGCCCTGGCGGCCGGGCGCTCGCTTTGCAGGCCGGGATCGGGGCTTGGGAGCCGAGCTATTTGTTAGACCCGGGGAGAGAGCTGGCGATCCCCAGAGGGAAGGGAGCCCCAAACGCCTTTGTATGTAGTTGCCAGACAAAGAGAACTCTTTGTGTAGACCCATTTATTTACAATGCAAAAGCTCTCCGAATAAATATTAAAAAAGCTTATCAGCTGAGCAAATATGTATTCACTTAATACATTATGTTTTCGGTTATAGATTAAATCAAACACAAAATAGTCTGCAAATAAGACGTTTTAGAACCCGGACCATAAAATATCGCAATTTAAAAAGGTATTCAGTAGATGGAAAACATCTTAATCGCTTTGTTGTCATGGTGGAATGGCTACAAAAACACAAGGTTTTCCGCAAAGTTCCTAATTAGGAATATCAAGCCTATCCATCTCCCTTTTGTTGGAGGTGATAAACATTAAAACAATACGTATTTAGAAGATGAGGAGTAATATGTGAAGTGCGTCCAGGGAGCGCCTTCGGAGGGACGCCTGGGAGCACGGTGGTGCACGCAGCTTCTATCACTGGCTCCGACCCTCCGCACCCAGAGTCTAAAATTGTCCCCAATTTCGCCTGAGTGGATGCTCCGCGTTGGGTGGGGGTGGAAGAAAATGGAGGTGAGGGTTATTTTAGGTGGCCGAGGTCCGGGCAGGGTCTGCTGGCAGAAGGTTGTGCTGGGCCGGGCCCACCTTCCCCGGCTAGAGGGCCGAGCTGGGCGCCGCAGACCCCGCGTACCCAGGCCGCCCGGTACTGCCCGGAGCGGAGACCGGCCTCTGCTCGCGGTCCCCGGCAGGCGCTGAAGGAAGAAATCCCAGGGCCGATTTGGGCCGTTGAGAGAGAGCATTCTGACTCTGAAAGCACCCCCCCCACACACACCCCCAAGCCCCCAATCCGCAGAGGAAGATCCTGGGCGAATTTGATTGGGGGGCGGGGTGATTGTTACAGCCTCAACAGGAAGCTCCCGGCTCCGGGACAGCAGGCCGGGCACTGCGGCGTGGCGGCCCAGGTGATGCCGGTGGCGGTTGCGGGCCTCCGGGGCTCTGAGGAGCCGGCCTGGGGTCCTAGCGCGATGCTGGGGACAGGAGCTGGTCCCGCTGGGGCTGGGGAGGGGGGACCACGGTGGATTCAGAAGAATGGGCCGAAAGATGCATGAGGGGGATGGGAGTGGGGAGAAAAGGAAGGTTATTAAAAAAAAAAAAAACTCTTGAGTTACAATCAATAAAATTACTCGCTTAATTAGCATGGTTATTCGGTTAAGCGGAATGCAGTAAAAGCTGGACCTCGGCATGAGGTGGGGAGAGGGGGAGAGCTAGTGTGGACCCCAGGCCTTTTCCTCCGAGACACCTTTGGGCAGCGGGGGAGGGGAGAGGGTGTGCGTGTGAGTGTGTGTGTGTGTGTGTGTGTGTGCGAGTGTGCGTGATGGCTTCGCAGATTTGGGTTTTTATCACCCAGCAGAGCCAGCAGCCTCTTCGCCGCGGCGCCCTAGCTGCAGGGACCCGCGGGGACGAGAACGGGAGGCGGCGAGCAGTGCGGCTGGGTTCCCCCGGCTGCCCCGGGCCAAGCGTGGCCGGGACGGTGCGTGCGCGCGCGGGGCCCCGGGTGCTGGGCTGCGCGCGCGTGCGGCGGGGAGACACCGAGCGCCCCGGCCCCGCCACCCGGCCTGGCCGCCGCTCGCTCGGGCCGGCGGGGGTGGGGGGTGGGGGGAGTGGGTGAGCGGGCGGGGCGGGGACCCCCGGGCGAGCCGAGCCCCCCAGTCACCCGTGTCTCCTCTGCTTTTGCCTCCACAGACCATGGACCCGCACAGCGGCCGCTGGCTCGGTGCGCGGCCGCCCGCCGAGAAGCCCAGTCCTCCCGCGTGCTGACCGGCCCCGCCGCCACCACCGCCTGTGACCCCGGACGCCGCCGCCTCTGCGCCGCCCGCGCGCCGAGCCGCCCCCGGGCCCCGGCCGCGCTGCTCCGAGGAAGCGGCGGCGGACCGGGGCCGGGGCCCGGCATGGATGGCCGCGACTTTGCGCCGCCGCCGCATCTGCTGTCGGAGCGCGGGAGCCTGGGCCACCGCAGCGCCGCTGCCGCCGCGCGTCTCGCCCCGGCTGGGCCCGCCGCGCAGCCCCCCGCACACTTCCAGCCGGGAAAGTACTTCCCGTCGCCGTTGCCCATGGCTTCGCACACAGGTCAGTGCTCGGCCGGGGCGGGCGCGGGACGGGAGCGTTCGAGAGCGGAACAGGGCGCCCACCCCTCCGCTCCCGGGAGCAGAGAAGCTTTGGTTTCATTTCCCGGCCCCGGCCGCGGTGGCTGCCTGGGCGCTGAGCGGGGCCGCGCGTCCCGCCAGCCCCCCAAGCTGCGTCGCCGCGGCTTAGAGAGGCCCTTCCCTGGCCACCCTCCCCCGGGGGTCTCGGAGGGGCAGCCCCGGAGCCGGCTGAAATTAAAGCCTTTCCGCGCCTCGCCACCCTCCCCCGCCCCCTCCTGCAGATCTAAATTCCACGGAAACCTCTTTTCTGCATTCTGCATTCACCTCCCTAAGACGTTCCGGGGCTGGGACAACGAGGCGCTTTCTGCGGAAACAAAACGGCTGTTGTGGCGGGGGGAGGGGACCAGGGTACGCCGCGGCCTCGCGGATTAGAGTGGTGTGTGCGCCGGGCGAGCGTTAATAGGGACTGCTGGTGTAAGACGAGCAAATCCTGTTTCTATATAAAGCCTTAAAGTGTCAGGGCGAGAATGGGTTTGCAGGGATGCATTTGCCTTAACGAGTGCCTCTGGTATCCCGCTAAAGCCGGACAAAGCGTGGCCAGAGTGCGGCCCAGCCTCTCAGCCTGCGGCCCGGGGAGGAGGGCAGCGCGGGCGCGGGCTGGGGGTGGCGCGGGGCGGCGCTCAGGATTTCGGTGCAGGCGAGAGTGCGGCGGATTTGCTCCAAGAGGAGAGCGAGGCGGATTTGCTCCAAGAGGAGAGCGTGGGGCGCCGTGCTGGGCCTCGCAGGGACGGATCCTCTCGGGCGGTCCCCTCTGACTCCCTGCCCGAGAGGATCAGTCCTTGGCAGAGCGGGCCCAGGCCTCCAGGGCAGCCCTCTTCCCGGTGGCTTTGATATGAGTGTCGAGGGAGGTCAGGGTAGGGGCAGCTACCACGCCTGAAGCCCTAGAGGTCACCAGGCGGCGCGGGTAGATTCGGGGGAAGCGCGCAGGGCTGCGCTAGGGACCCGCCGGGTCACCCTGGTACATGGGTGGCTTTTGTTTACAGTTTGTTCTAAACATCAGAAATGTTTGTCGCTTTTAAAAACAAAATTGGCAGTAACAGTTATTATTGGTAGCTTGATGAACTGTGAATACTAATAAAATTATATCTGCTTTAATGGGATTACAATTAGTGTGTGGATTAAAACGGATGGCAGAGACGGGGCTAGAAAGGAAAACGTCGGAAAAAGGGAGGGCACTCAAAGAAAAACGTACATTTTCTAGAAAAAAACAAACTTGAAATTGCTTAATTGCTAACGGGCTTCCAGCATTTGCAGCGCCAGGAGATTGGAATGGGGGAGCCGCCCAGTGGAGGGGTCTCCCCAGCACTTCCCGGGTTGGCCCACACCCGCTTCCCTCCCTGCCTGGGCCTTTGGCGAGGCTGCCCTTTTCTCTCTGTTGCCCTTCCTTCTTTTTCTCCCTTTCTTTTTTCTCCTCTAGATTTGTAACTGGAAAGAGAAGGAGAAAAAGCACTTGCCTGAGCGATGGGTGATTTAAAAATATCTCTTCTGCTGTCCCTGTGGTTATCAAGCTTGTCTTCCTGCCCCTGCATGGGAGCTGCTGCCCACCCGGCTCAGGTGCACGGGGCGCTGAGGCTGGGGCCGCCCTGGCAGAAGGGACAGCTCGCCAGCCTCCCCACCAGCCCCTCTTCTGGCTGAAGGCTGGTGGCCCCCACTGGGGGTAGGGGGATTGTGTGCACCCCACCTCCACTGTACCGTGCCCTCCAGCCTGGCAAGTAACAGCACGACAGAGACAGGGGCCCCTGACACTGAGGCTTGCATGTTGGTGCACAGGCAGGCTGGGGCTGTCCCCTCCGGGAGGCAAGGCCAAATTCCCCATCAGGTCAGGTCAGCACTCTCCCTGACCCCATGCCCCAGCTCACATCCTGGCCAGGTCCAGGCCAGCTGCATTCTCCCCCTTCTGCCCTTACTTCCAGGTCTAGGCAGCACCCGGGTAGGTGGGCGCCTGGTCGGGTGGCCTAGCCCTTTGTCTTGCTCATTCTAAGTTTGGCCACGTGGTTCTTGGCGTGTAGGCCCCGGAGGGCTGTGAGAAACGGCTCTGGGCTCTGGCCTGGCCTGTGTCCTCCCTGCTTCTTCTTGATCCCAGGTCCTCCCAGCCTCCCCAAGCGCAGGGTGCTCTAGAGGGCGCTGGAGGCCCCTCGGGGCTGCCTCTTTCAGGGTCTGAAGGGTCATGTGTCCCCGTCCCTGGAGGCCCCATTTCCTCCCCCCTGCGGACCGAAGAGAACGCTTGTGCTCGGAGATGTTCAACCCATTTGTGATGGGCAACTTGGTCATGCAGACATCCAGCTAGAAGCATCTGTAGCTGAAAGAAAGCCTTTTGAAATTGTTAAGAGCCAGAATATTGTATTGGTTTTTAAAATTTAGCTGCATGTATTTTTTTAAAAAAAGAATTATACCCCAGATCACTTTGCTTTGGTCTGTGTCTATATATGATCTAGTTTAGAGAGAAAAAAGCATAATTACGTTAAACAATTTTTTTGCGTCTTGTGTGCGGACTTCCACATGGCTGGTTTGGCTGCCTTGCTTCCCATTTTCCTGGATGGCTTCAGTCCGCAGGCCACAGCTGCAGCCAGCCCGCCCCTCCCTCTGCTGACTGCCCCTTGGAAAGGAAAATTGACCCGGATTCTTCCCGCCTGTCTGGGAGTAGAATCCAACCATCGGGGATGGAGGCCCTGGCCTCCATGAGGCTGCCTCTTTTTGCTGGGCTGCTCTTCCTGTGCCTGTCTGGCCTGGCACTGCCACCCCGGCTGGACTGAGGCTGTTCCTGCTGGCTGCCGGGGCTGCCTTTCCCCAACCCCACCCAACACTTTCAGAATGTCAGTCTGAGGGGCCCTGATGGGTGGGGACATGGGGCTCCCAGGCTTCTTCCATTGTTTTTCTAAAAATGAAAGTGCTGGGAGCTTTAGACTCGGGCCGCAGGTTTTATGGTAAAGTGCTGTTCCAGTAACCTTGTCACCAAAAGGTGCAATTAAAATGTTTGGAATCATTATTTTTAGTTCAGTGTTAGATTTTGTCTCTAATACAGATGGTCCGGAGGCAAAGCTGTGAAATCTAGGGGGGAGAAAAGAGAAATCAACAAGAACCAACCCAAGATTTTTCATCAGTGCTACTGCCTGGAGCCACTGGGGCTGGCGCCTCTGCTGGGAGTGTGTGTGTGATCCGAGGCAGCCCCGGCCTGGGGAGAGGCCCACATAGACAGCCCCCCGTCCTGGCTTCTGGCTGGGCCCGCTCCTGTCCTGGTCTGTACGCCTCCCCTCTCCAGGGGCCAGGGCTCCACCAAGGCACTATTTCTCATCTTGGTTTCAATAATCTGCTCAGATTCCCCTCCCGCCCCTTCTCTTGTCTTCTTTGGGGTGTAAATTGCTGAAGCCTGGGAAACCAGGTGCTCTGAGCCTGGGGTTATTGTGGGAGAAAGGCGAAGGCTCCTTCTGGTGGGAGAACTGCAAACTACTTCTTTCCTGCTGAAAAAGTGCTTCCTACCGCCAATCTCAAAAAAAAAAAAAGAAAAAGAAAATACCAAAAAACACAACCAAAAAATACCCCCAACTTGGCAGAGGAAAAAAAAAGATAATTTCCTAGTGTGAAAAGACCCCATCACAGGCTCCTCTCCCTCATCATGTGATATTTTTTTGTAAAGAAAAAAATACATTTTCTTAAATACCTCATTAACTCCATGACACGATGGAGTGTTTCTGCAACAGTTAGCAACATTAAGTAGGTGTGAAAAGAGTTACTTTCCGAAGACGTCACCCGTCCCGCTCCATAAGTGACAGAGTTAGACATCAAAGTTGCCGCGAGCCCAAAGGAGCTACGGGAATCCGGGAATGTGGGGCCGCGTGGACCGGCGGCGGTGGCCCGCCACGCCCGCCCCGCCGAAGCCCTGTTTGGAATGTGGGTTTCCCCCAGTGGGGCTCGTGCTGCCACCACGTCTGATTATCCCGGTACGGAGCCGCCGCGCTTTCTGTAGGAATATCCAGGTCACGTGAGTAATAAGGCAAATTAGTGAGCCAGGCAGAGAACGGCGTTGTGCAAATAGCACATCTCCCCTGGAAAACGCGCGTCCCCCCAAACGTTCCCCGGTTATTCTTAGAAATCTTCTCTCATCTCCCTGTGAGACAGGGTTCAACAGCCCCCACAGACAGGACAAAATGCATAGGAGGCTGTTAGAATAACATGGATGAGGCTAAAAATACCCCTCAGAAACACACATAAAAAAGCCAAATCCAACAACAGAACGAGCTAAAAATATTCCAGGCTTTGGCAAAGAGCACAGAGTTAAATAAATTATACAAGAGCCATTCATGGGAGCAAGTTGACTTTCTCTCTTACGGGAACTTGGTTCAAGCTAATAAAAATAATAATTTACTAGCCACTGAGCTTTGCATGAGTTTAAATTTAATTGGTGGGGCTTCTGGCGTTTGTCACTTCTTGGCGATTAGTGGTCTTGCCCTGGCCTGGGCCAGAGTGGGGAGGGGATGCCGAGGCTGGGGCTCCTGGCAGCAGGGTCATTGTCCCCTGAGAAGCAGGGCCTGGGTGCAAGGGCAGATTACCCAGGAGGCTGGAGGAGGATGGAGACTATTGGGGGTTCCATCCAGGAAGGCAGAAAAAGAACTGGCAAGGCACGGCTATTTTAATTTGATAAATGATTGTACACCTTTAAGAGTGTTTTAACAATCAGGATACACTCCAGCAAGTTGATAGGATGTTCGCTGTCAACTTACATATGTCATCAGAGCTGGCTGTGAGCATAAATAATGTGCGAGCGCTTGGGACAGCTGCAGTCTCTCCTGGAGGCTGAGGCGTGGCAGGTAGCACCTCTGTCCCCTGGCGGGCACCTTTGTTCTCCTTCTCTCTGTGTGTCTGGAGGCAGGGACCGGAGAACAGTCGTGGGGAATCACTGAATGCTGCTTTCATCCTGGGTGGTTTGGTTGGGGTGCCTCCTCTCTGCGGACTTTTTAGGTCTCCCCACGAAAATAAGAGTCCCCAGAACTACTTGACCAGAAAAGCCACTGTGGATATGATCTGAAGCTAGAATAGTAGCATCGTCTGGTGTGTTTTGTTTTTGTTTTTGTTTTGTTTTTGTTTTTTGAGACAGTCTGGCTCTGTCTGCCAGGCTGGAGTGCAGTGGCACAATCTTGGCTCACTGCCTCACTGCAACCTCTGCCTCCCTGGTTCAAGCCATTGTCGTGCCTCAGTCTCCCAAGTAGCTGGGATTACAGGCATGTACCACCACGCCCTAATTTTTTGTATTTTTAGTAGAGACGGGGTTTCACCATGTTTCCCATGCTGGTCTTGAGCTCCTGAGCTCAAGCAATCTGCCCACCTTGGCCTCCCAAAGTGCTAGGATTACAGGTGTGAGCCACCGTGCCCGGCCTCTGGTGTCTTTTGAGGCAGCAGATGTTTATATATAGCCACTTCCCAGGAGTTTTAAACATCCACCCTGGGGTTGGAGTAAGGGTAACTCCCTTTACTCCCTCCTCTTCCTTGGCTGTTTCTTAACTCAATCTGCCTCCCCCGCCCCCAATCCTGGCAGGGCCTTCTAACTCCCAAAGGACTATATTTCCCAGAATACCCTGATCTAGCTCCAGGGTCTGAGCCCGAGACTGTCCATGTCCCTGGGCTGGGAATTCCCAAGCACAGATAGAGTTCAGCCAGTGCCGCTGGGAATAAATACTTTCCTGGTGGAAGAAAGCCTTGCTCCATCGTGCCCCCCTGCCCTTCCTTCTGGAAGAGGCTTCTGGGCCCCCCGGTCTGGCTTCCTCCCTACCATAAATACCTGAATATAGGCCCATAACAAATGGGACCTGTCCTCTGTCCTCTGCCCTCTGGATCCTGTGAGGCAGCTACTGTGATTGTCCTGGCCAACGCCCCACCGGAGAGTCTCCCCCAACCCCCTGAGCTCAGTACATGGCATATGCCCTCTTTTGGAGTGGTCTTCTCAGAGGGGCCTGGTTGCCCATCAGCTGCTGTGGAAGCGATACAGGGACTCCTCCTGGGTAGCAGCAGGGCCAGCCTCTGCCTAGGGAGTCCCTCGAGAAAATACCGCCCAGCCTTTGGGGTGCCCCCTTGCCCTCCTGACACCCTCAAACAACAGAAGCTGCCTGCCTTCTTAATGGGTTCATCCTGAATGAGAGGTTTCCAAAAAGAAGCCCTCCCTCAAGACAGGCACTGCCTTGTTCCCCTGAGGAGGGAGGCAGGCTCGTCCTGGCCTGTCCAGGGGAGGGTCCGAAACCCTTGGCTCCTGGACAGCCTCCTTGAGGGGAGATGGCCTCCCCTTGTGTCCCCCACCTCGCAGACGTGCTGTGAATGGGCTTGGACTCAGAGCACGCCCCTGTCTGTTGGGTAGGTGGGTTACTTGCTCTGCATTCCCCCTCCCAGCCCCCGCTCCCCGCCCACCTGGGAACGGCTTCCCTGGGGTTCCCCGGTCCCCATTAACCTCTGGGACCTCATTTCCCCTCACCGAAGACACAGTGTAACAAGCAAAAAAAACATCAGAGCCAGCGTGCAGTGTCTGGAAAATCACCCGCAGCCCAGGCCCTTCTGCAAAGGATGGGGCCTGGAAGGGCCTCGGGCGTGGGACCGCACTCCGCTCGGGCTCCGCCCGCTGACGTTTTTATGGGATAATATACCGTTTCGCTCACGCAGGCCTATTTGTCAGTGGGCTGCCCCTGTTTGTTGTAATCTATAATATTACTGCCTCCCGTGGCCCCAGAGCAGCTGCCGCGGGAGAATCCAGGGATGGTGGGCGCTAGGTGTGCGCTGAGGGGATGTGGTGGCAGGCGCTGGGGGCAGGCGGCGCCCAGGTCCTGGTTATGAGGTCGGCGCGGGGTTTGCAGCGAGCCTCGGGTCTGGTGGGGAGGCGTCCAGCGCCCAAGCTGGGAGCCAGCCGGGCTGGCATGCTGCAGCTGTCCACACGATTAGGTTCCCGATCGGATCAGCCAGGAAGTGGGTTTTTTTCATTCTGACCTGCTGTGGCGAGGAAGGGAGGGACAAACAGGTGGGCTGGGTTCCTGCCTTCCCTTCTCTCCCCTAGGATCCCCCAAGAAAAAGTCCAGTGTCTTGAGATGCGGGGACTCTGAGGCTGGCCGGAAGTGCTGCCCCTCTCCGGGGTCTGTGGGAGACCCACTGTCACTTGCAACTGTGAGGAACGGCAGAGCAGCCCCTTGCCCCAGCTCAGTGCAGGGACATGGTTTTCCAGTGGAAATTTCCAGAAATGGGGGATGGGTGTGCTTCCAATAGGGTCCTCTGAGCAGCAGGCTGGGCTCCCTGAAGCGGAGGGTGACATTGGGGGGCAGTGCCTTCTTGGGGTACCCCACCAAAAAAGAGAAGCCTTAGCCATATTAAGTAAGAAAGAAACCAGCCTGCTGGCGTCTTCAAGGGAAGTCGGGTCTCAGTGCGACTCCCTCTCTCTCCGGTCCTTGGAGCACAGTTGAAGCTTTGCTTTCTTCCCCTGAGACTTCTGCAACCAGGGGCGCCTCCTGTTCTTAACACATGGCATGGGTGAGAGTGAGCAGATCCAGGGAAGAAGAGATGGGGGATGCCCAGACCGGAGACCCAAGAGACCTGAGCCCAGGATGGGGGTGCCATGGTGGGTGGGAGAAGGGGCTGCGCTGTGGGGCAGGTCCCCTCTCAGGCATGAACAGACATTGCCGCCTGGCAGGGGTTTCCTGGCTCTGTGGACGTAGAGCTGTGGCCCCCTCTTGGGTGAGGCCCACTCTGCAGACCCCAGTAAGGATATCCCAGCGGGGTCTAGCCACAGGTTCACTGACCAAGCTCACAGCTGCTCACACTCACAGATGTGGCAACATACACCTGCTCCTGTGTGCTCACACCATGAGGCAGGTGTTCACCTGCACACACACACTCACACTGTTCACAACTGGCCCACAAGGAGTCCCACTCCAGTGGCCCCTGGGAAAGCCAGGTTGCTTAGTGACTGGCACGGGCACCTGTCTGCCCCCTACGTCCTCCCCAACTGCTCCATCCTCCGTCTCCTGGCTCCTGGTTCCTGGCCACCTGCAGGAGGGAGCAGAGCCCCAGATCCACATGACCCTCTGTGGCTCAGCCTCCCTTCAGCGCCTTCCCCGGCCCCCTTCCTCCTGCTGCCCCTGTGTGGCTGTGGACCGTGTCCTCGGGCTCCAGCTGAACTTGGCCTTGCCCTTTCCTGAGCTCTTGCTCGGCAGGAGGAGGACATTCCCGTCAAGATCAATTCCAGTGCGTGGCGAATGCCTCGGGGCCAGGTCTGGTCCCGGGCCTGCCCTGAGGCTGTCTGGTTGTCCTGGAAGCCGCTGCCTGCATGGGGCACTGCTTCCTGTCCTGTGTGGCCACCTCCACCCCAGGCCTCTGCGCCTGGGGTCCTAGAGGTTCCTAGATGCTCGGCTACCCCAGGCCCCACCTGCCTCCCACCCCCCAGGCTCCCACCCTGCACCCCCACCTCTCAGCTGCCCTCAGTACCGTCTCTGCCCACCGTGCCCTGCCCCTCCTGGGGCCTACCCCTGCCTGGCCCTTTACTTGGGCAGCTTCTACAATCCCCAGTGCCTGCCCCTGCCACCCTGGAGTTCTGATCCCGGCGTCACATCCTCTCAGAGCCCCCGTGTGACTCTGCCTAAGTGGAGAGGGGTCCCCGACTGCTCCATGCCCACCTCTCCTTTCCTCCATGCCCCACACCAGCTGAGCTGTTCTTGGCCTGCAGCCCTTCTTGTCCCCTTCTATGACCTCCCAGCCCTGACCACCCACCTGGGTCTGTCCCACAGAGCCTGGCAGCAGCCCCTGCCCAGCCCCCCTGGCTGGCTTGTTTGGGGCCAGTGCCTTTCCCCTGATATCAGCCACCTTTCCTGGGAGACTGCAGGCTCCTGAGTCTGGGGGTGGAAATGTCCTTCTGTCCCTTCCTATCCCCAGAGCTGGGCTGAGCCACACTGGCCTCCGTCTCCTGCCCCAGTGCATAAGTGCCCATCCACGCTCAGGTGACGCGCACAGGCACGCGTGTGTGGGTGTGAAGAGCTCTGCTTTTCCCCTAGGATTTCACCCCCACACCGGAAAAGATGAACGATTAACTCTGGGAAAACTAAGTTAGGAGGTGGCAGTGGTGAGAGACCCAGCCAGGGTCTCTGGTCTCTTTATTAAAAATCAAGGTGTTCCCCCCACACTGGACCATGGCGTGGGGCCACAGGCTGCGTGGGCACCTGCCTGGGGGACATGGCAGCATCCCCTGGCCTTCGTGTAGCATCTTCAGTTGTCATGGCGGCTCCTGAGGCTGTGTGCGCTACACCTTAAAGGGTGTCAGAGCCCAGGGGATTGGCAGATGGCGCTGTCCTCTCCTGATTAGCGCCACACGAGGTGGTGGGAGACAGAAGTGGGGGTGGGGCTCCTGTCCCCCGAAGGCTGGAGCTGCGCCGGCTGAGTGGCCTGGGGAAGGGGGGAAGTGCGTGTGAATGGAGGGAGGCAGCCCACAGCTGTGAAGGAGGGTTCTGGAGGGCCAGGAGCGGGCTCAGGGTGGGGGCCAGTTCCTTTTCACCTCGTGGCCCTGGCTGGGGCTGTGAGGCGACTCCCTGATTGTCCACGCGGGGTCGCGGGGGTGCAGCTAGGATTGGGAGCAAGAGCCAGTGGCTTCATCTGGGTCATAGAGCACTAGTGGGTGAGGAGGGACACCTGGGGAGGGCTGCCTCTCCCCGCCCAAGGGCCTGCTCCCCTTGCCACTGACCAGAGGGAAATCGGGCCCAGGGAGAAGGCCGGGTGTGAATCAGCTGCCTCACCCTCTGCGACGTCTCCATCCACAGGCCGGCCCTGCAAGCACCTCCCCAGCAGGCTGGGCTGTGCCAGCGAGGGGGAGACCATGGCCCTGGGACTCATGTCACCAGGCAACAGCGCTGCCTCAGGCCCTTCACATTGTGGGTTTTGCCTTCCAGTCTTCAGGCCCGGGAGAGCACCTGGCCTCAGCGCCTGCCCGAGCTGAGGGGAGCGTGTGTAATGGGGCCCTGCCAAGCCACCTTGGCTGCAGCTGCCCCGGCCTAAGGTGGGGATCGGTGGCCCCTGCTCTTCCCTCCCTGAGTCTAGGCCTCCTACCTCTAAAATGGGCAGTTGCCCTGCCCTGCTGGAGGGTTGAGTGGGACTGGGGGATGCAGTTGTGGCCCCGGTGCCCTCCCAGGAGCACTGTGGCCGTCCGTGTCACCTGTGGGGGTCCTAGGAGCCTGCACGAGCTGCCGGAGGCACATGGCCTGTGCACGCCCCTTCCCTGGCGGAGACTCAGAGGCCTGGGGAGGAGGCGGCTGTACCTGGGACCCTTGGTGGGGCCTCCCCCCTGGGCAGCAGGCAGCGAGACTCCTGAGGGCCCACCTCATGCCTCAGGCCCAGGCCCTCTCCTCTGTGTCCATCGAGGGATTCTGTGGCCTTGAGGCCTTAGTCTGGCCGTAGAACTAGGAAACCTGGGCCCTTGGCTCCTGTGCCCTGGCACGGGGGTCCAGCTGCCCCACTTACCCCTACCTGTGCAGGGGCTTGCATGGTTTTGGTGTGAAGGTGGACGCCCACCCTCCAGCATGTCCTGGGGCGTTGGATGTGACTGGGATGGGCAGATGTGGACCTGCTCTGAGGCACCACGGGTCGAGGCACCACGGGTCCTGGCACCACGGGTCCTGGCACCACGGGCAGTGCAGACGCTCTGGACCCCCAGGTGGGGCCCAGGTGCTGGGGGGCCTTCGTGGCCTTCCGGGTCTACTGGGCTCTGGGACTTCAGAGAGCTTCCCAGTGGCAGAGGGGGACTGGCCCAGGGGAGACACCAGCAGATCATGTGGGATGGGACCACAGAGCTGGAAGAGCAAAGATGTCCCCGTATCCCCCCAGTCTCGGGGCGGGGGTGGGGGCTCTCTGCCTGGGGTTGGGGGACAATGAAGCAGGCTATGCTTCCCCGGAGTCCAGGGGTGGGGATGGCCGCTCATCAAACACTCTGCTCCCCCAGGGCGGGTCTCAGACCTCTCTAGGTCCCTCCCATGAAAGGAGGGCTTCGGAGCCGCACCTGGGTCTTTGTTGTCCATATGTCTGTGTGAAGGCCTGGGGCCCCCGTGCGCCTCCCCTCGGGCCTGAGGGGTCCCTCTCTCTGGGGTCACGCTCCCTTGTTCTCAGTCCCGCAGCCGTCCTCTGCGTGAGTCCATTCATCACGTGCCTGCAGGTGCCTGTGTCCTGTCTCTGCCCCAGGCTGAGGCCGAGGGTCTGCGCCACCTGGGCATGCCCAGTGGGGCCCCAGGAGGACTCGCCACCCCCAGTTGAGCAGCTCCCCTTCTCGGCAGCTCCCAAACCCTGACCCCAGACAGGCAGCAGGAGCTGGACGTGCCGTCAGCCCAGGCCCCTGAGAGTGAGGCTGGAGAGACGGGAGGCACCGGTGCCCTGTGGGTGGGAGCACTGCTGGCTCCATCCTCCACTGCATTCAAATTGATCAGGGAGGGTGGGGTTGGGGGGGAACAGGGTCCTTGAGGTCGTCAGCCAGCCCCACCCCTGCCTGCCTGCCTGCCTGCCTGCCTGCCTGCCTGCCTGCCTTCCTTCCTTCCTTCCTTCCTTCCTTCCTTCCTTCCTTCCTTCCTTCCTTCCTTCCTTGAGAGGCCTCTCTACCCAGCACCCACGAAGACGGGTGAGCTGCTGGCCACCCGAAGAGGGTGTGGGGTGGTCAGGTTTGGGGCATTCCAGACCTGAGGCCCTCCAGGCAGCTCCCCTTCCACTCTGCCCAGCCCACCCTGCCAGGGAGGCCTCAGCATAGTCCTTGAGCTCTGGGGGCCCCAACCCAGCCTCCCTGGGTCTCTGGGCCTTTGCCTCTACCCACACCTGCACGCCTCAGCAAGGTCGTTCCCGACAAGCCCCTCACCGCCCCGGCCCCTGCCCCTCCACACCCTGGTCACTCTTCCCTCCAGCTCAGCGCTTACCATCGTATCCCTGCATCCGAGGGTAGCTTTGCCACAGGAAGCATTTGCATTCAGCGAGACACACAGGCGCACAGGGACTCAAGTGTGGCCACGATTAGGGCAGGACCAGGGCCCCGTGGCCTCCTGGTTTCTGGCTTCAGCTGGTGACCCCCAGGAGGCCTGATGGCAGGTCCCCCGTCCCTGGCCGGTGAGCTGGCTGTGGAGTGGCAGGAAAGAGCCCAGCTCTGTGGTCCCCCAGGATCCTCCGGATCTCCGTAGTGGGACAGCTACCCCATCCGGCCAGCCCTGCCGTGGGCCCTGGTCACTCCAGGCCAGCAGGTCGCCTTGTGGGCAGTTTTCCTGGAAGCCAGTCCCCTCTCTGAGAGTTTTCATATCCCTTTGGGTGTCCTAAAAATAAACTTTTAATTTATTTTAATTGAATACCAAAATTAACTTAAATTGTAATGCATTTTTGGGCTAACTCTTAAAAAGCCCTTAGTGTGTGTAAATACAGATAAAATCAAAGAAAATTCAAAAAGTGTATGTGAGGCCATGCCATCCTTCTAACAAGTTGAGAGTTTGATGGTAAATACTTAGCAGAAATCCAAAGTGCCTAAGTCTGGAGGGCCTCAGGTGGGAGGCGGCTGGGGGTCAGAGACCCCTTGGGGCCCGTCGGCCAGGGCAGGGAGCAGCCACCACGCTTCAGCCTGCGTTGCTGACTCGTGCACGAGGCAGGTCTGTCTGGAGTCACCGACTCTCCCTCCTGGCCCTTCCCGTACCTTCCCGGGGGCTCTTTCCCCGTCCGCGCCCCCCGCCCCACCCTGTGGCTCTGTCTCTTCCCTGCATGAGTAGCTGGGGCTCTCTCCCACATGATCTCACAACTGGGTAGCTTAAAACAGCGAACATTGATTATTTCACAGCTTCTGTGAGTCGGGAATCTGACTCAGGGCCAGGTGTTGGCTGGGGCCTCGGACATATCCAGACCCAGCTGTGGGGAGTCCCCTCCAGAGGCCACCCTCCGGCTGTCGTGGGTGTGGGAGTGTTGCCGGCTGCTGGCTGGAAGGAGAGAGTGAGAGAGCGCAGGACGGAAGCTCGGTGCGGGTGCGGCCTCACCTTGCGGGGGCAGTGGGTGGGTGTCACTTCCTCCACATCCTCTTTCTAGAAACGAGTCCAGGTCCCGCCCACACCAAGCGCCAATTACATAAAGGTGAACACCAGGGTCCAGGGTTATCAGGGCCTTCTCTGAGGCCCCCCACAGCAGCCATACGCTCCCCAACCCCAGAGTGGGCCGTCGGGACCCCACCCGTGGCTGTGGCTGCCTCCCCTGTGCTGACCATGCCCCCCCCGGGCGCTCGCTGCTGGCTGGGGGAGACCTGCCCTCGGGGGTTTGTGCCTTTCCTCTGCCCCATGCCCTCGGCCTCCTTCCCTGTGACTTGGCCAAGCGTAAGCCCCGGGCTCACTGGAAGCCTCGCTCCTTCTCAGCCTCTGCACCCCCGTGCCAGCCTGGTCCTGGACATCTGAGGCGAGGCTGGCCCTGTTCGTCCCTCACCCCTCTTCCTCCCCCTTCTGTCTTCCCCCCACACCACACCACCGCCTCCACTCTGGGCTGTCCCCTCCGCAGCAGCGGGCCCCTGGATACCCGTGGACCGTCCCCACCCCAGCCAGGGCAGTGCTGTCCACGCAGGTGCAGTATCGTCTCAGCACCTGTGGGAGGTCCGTTCCCAGACGTCCTGCCTTGGTGGAGTGAGCAGACCCCGAAGCAGCCACAAGGCCGCGGGGGCTGCAGCAAGGTCCCAGGGCCCATGCGGGAGGCAGCCCGCTCGGACCACCTGTGGCTTCCCTGCACTCCAGGCTGGGCTCAGGGCGCGGGTGCGTGACCCTGGCCTGTCATGGGCACTCAGCAACTGTTCGTGTACCAGCCGGGTTAAGGTGTCCTTCTCTGGATGGGGCGCAGGGCTCGCTATGGGGTGCTGGGGCGGCTGTGTCCTCTGGTCTGGGCAGCGCTTTCTCCTTCCGTTTCTGCATCAGCTGCCTGCCTGGGTGGGGTCCGCAGGTGCGTCAGCCACCCCGGGGGCTCCCCCAGCCCACCTTGAGCTGACGCTGGCAGCCCACCTGGGTGCCCTTGGGATGGGGAGCTGGCCCTGGACCTGGCCTGCTGGATCCATGTGGTCTGAGCGTGTCTCTAGACTCTCCTCTGAAGCTGTGGGGGTGCCTTCTGAGCCCTGACCCGTGCCAAGGAGCCCCCGCACAGCAGCCCAAGCCACCTGCCCAGGACCAGCCGTGGCCCCCTCGATGTCCGCCTTGGCAGCAGAGCGGCTCCTCCCATGGCAGGACCTGTGCTGGGGCAGGGGCAACGGTGTGGGGGCACCTCCTTCAGCGAGGGCCAATGCCTGGCGCCCTGGCCTCTGGGGCAGGTCTTGTCTGGGCAGCAGAGGCTCAGGAGGGCGCTGGTTCTCCCAGTGGTCCGTGAGGCCGGCAGGGCATGCAGGCGGCCAGCATCACGGCCCGGACCCCACAGAGGCGGAGCTCGGGCTGTGGGGTTGGGTGCTGAGGGCACTAGGAGCTGCCGGACCTCACCAGGGCCTTTTCTCCCTCGGACCTCCCGTCTGGGCCCCAAACCCCCTCGGCCAGCCCCATCTACCCCATCCCAGAGGTCCCTGCCTGAGCCACCCACCTCGCCCGCTCCCCTGCAGAGTTCCTAGGAACGCCGAGTTTTTACCTCAGAGGCTGAGGTGAAAAGTAAGATGAATAAGATGAACGTGTGTGTCGTGAGGACGTGGGTCCGTGCGGCAGGAGCGCTGGCCGTCGGGAGGGCCTGGTGTGGCCGTCGGGGGCAGGAGGGACCGAGGTTCCCCGGGGTTCGTCACAGCCTCACCACGTGTCCCCAACCCCAAGGCCCCGGGACGGGGTGAGGCTGGGGGCGGAGGCGGCAGGCACCCCCTGGGCCCAGCCGTGCCCACTCCCCTGATCGCTGCCACGCTGCGCTGAGAAGTCCTGTGTGTTCCCTGGATCCCGGTGTGGTCTCCGTCTCCCACCCCGGCCTGTCGCATCCCCACCCGACTGGCCATTACCCGCCACGGTGTACTATCCTCGCCAGCAGCTGTTACCCGCCCCGGCGTACTGTCCTCGCCAGCAGCCGTGCACTCTGCACGTTTGCCCCCTGGTTCCCATTGGAGCTCTGCCCTTCCCGCCCCGGCCCCTCTTCCAGGGCCACCAGATGCTGCGCGGGGGGCTGGGGACGGGCCCGGGCGAGGGAGCTGGAGGAGGGCACCTGGCCGTGTGACCCCCACCCTCTGAGACCCGTCCGCTGGCAGCTTCCTGGTTCCTTCCTCTCCTCCACCCATCTTCCTGGACCCTGGGTTTGCCCATGCCTGGCTCGGTGCCACACAGCAGGGGACAGGTGTGCTCAGCCTCTTGGGGTCGCAGCAGGGTGCTGCCTGGAGGGGAGTTCCAAGGGGGACCTTCGTTGTGAAGGAGGGCAGGCTGGGCTTTTTGAAGGTGGCTGGGTGTGAACCACGCCTTGAGACACAGAGTTTGGCAGGGGGCATACGTCCCCCTGGAAGGGTAACGCGAGCGCGAGGCCCCATGTGGTTGGAGCCAGCTGTACCAAAAGCAGTTGGCTGGGAAATAACAGAAAATGGCACTTTAGTGGGGGCCGGTCCCTGCCCTTTCAGCCTGCAGTGACCTGTGCTGGCCCCAGCCCCTTCCTGGGATACTACAGCCTGAGCCAACCTCGTTTTGGGAGTCGGGCTCTTGGCACCTGGTCCTTCTTAGCACCAGGGGCAGGAGTGACCTGAGTCCCCTCGGTGGGAGGTGGAGCTCTCCCGGCCAACATAGCCACCTCCATGCTGGATGTGGTGATCACAGCGTGCGAAGCTGTCCCTGCTCCCTGACCTACCCCCCAGCCCTGCTTAAGCTGACTGACACAGACCATAGTTTCTCTCACCTGGGTGCGGGGACCCCAGCTCTGGGGGCTGCAACTACCCACAGAACCATCGAGGACGGCCCAGGATGGCTGTGGGCAGAGCGCCCCACCCTGCCAGGGAGACCATGGGCCTCACACCTCCAGGCAGGCCAGGCTGGGAAACAATGTGTGCGTGTGCGTGTGTCCATGAGGATGGGTGTATGCGCGTGTGTGTGTGTCCATGAGGATGGGTGTATGCGCATGTGTGCGTGTGTGTCCATGAGGATGGGTGTATGTGCGTGTGTGCGTGTGTGTCCATGAGGATGGGTGTGTGTGTGTCCATGAGGGTGGGTCTATGCGTGTGTCCATGAGGATGGGTGTATGTGCGTGTGTGCATGTGTCCATGAGGGTGGGTGTATGCGCGTGTGTACGTGTATGTGTGTCCATGAGGGTGGGTGTATGCGTGTGTGTACGTGTGTGTGTCCATGAGGGTGGGTGTATGTGCATATGTGTGTGTCCATGAGGGTGGGTGTATGCGTGTGTGTCCATGAGGATGGGTGTGTGTGTGTCCATGAGGGTGGGTCTATGCGTGTGTCCATGAGGATGGGTGTATGCGCGTGTGTACGTGTATGTGTGTCCATGAGGGTGGGTGTATGTGCGTGTGTGTGTGTCCATTGAGGGTGTGTGTGTGTGTGTGTGTCCATGAGGATGGGTGTGTGCATGTGTGCGTGTGTGTCCATGAGGATGGGTGTGTGCGTGTTTGTGTGTACATGAGGATGGGTGTATGTGCGTGTGTGTGTGTCCGTGAGGATGGTGTATGCGCGTATGTACGTGTGTGTGTCCATGAGGATGGGTGTATGCACATGTACATGTCCACAAGGATGGGTGAGCACACAGGAGGGTGAGAGCCTGCCCCCCTGGCCATCCCGAGCCTGCACCTGCCTCCGCCCACCTTTCTTCAGCTGCTCTGGCATGGAGCCTGTGTCATTGACGTCGCCTGTTTGGGCCAGGTGGCAGGAGTTAGGAGCACGCTCGCAGCCTGTGGCTGGTCCACTTGGAGGATGGGAGAGGCTGGCCAGCAGGGCCACATGGCTATGTGGACACAGGGCCAAGAGCACTAGAGTCTCCCTACAGCCCGGCTCTGTCGGGGCTCATCCTATGGCTGCTGTGCCCAGGGAGGCCTTGCACCCCCATCCGTTGCCGTGTTGTCCCCTGCATGTCCACAGCTAGACTGGACATGTCCAGGGTCAGGGCAGGGGGTGGGGGCTCCGGTTGAGAGGCCGGAGTGTAGGAGGGCAGGTGGGTGTCCACGTGGCCTCCCTTGCTCTGCAGGGACCCGAGGGCCAGGGTGGATTCCTGGGCTGGGGTGTGCGTGCGTGTGCCCCTGACATCTTCACCGGGGTGTCCGTCTCCCCGCAGCTGGCTGTCTCAAGATGGTGGGATGGGAAGCGTTCAGTTTGGGGCGAGGAGACTCATCCAGCTGCGGGGGGCGGCGCCGAGGGAGTGGCGCTGACCACCCTGGTTGCATTCCCACGCCCCTGGCCGACCGCCCCACAGCCCTCCAGAGTGTCTTAGGGGCAAGGGGAGGTCCTGGCCACCCGCCTGCCCAGGAGAGCGGGTGAGAGACATGGGAGAAGGTGTGAAGAATTGGAGAAGCAGAGAGGGAGCCTGCCTGTGCCCCACCCTCAGTCCCCACCATGGCTGCTCTGAGTCACTTGGCACAGAGCTCTCAGGGGAGGGAGACCGAGGAGGGACGCCATGGGGAGCGTCGGCCACCGCCCCCCCCCCGCCCTAGCCAAAGGGCTAAATTTACCCTTTTAATAAGAACCAGACTTATATCCGATTTTCCTTTTCTTTTATTAGTTCTGGGCTGTCGGTGGCTGAGCCCATCCTGTCATCATCACCTCCCGGCCGTTTCCACGCTGATTGGGTTGGGTACACAGCAACCACAGAGTTTTCCTATTAAGGCCTGAGAGACGCTGCCTCTGGGCCAGCGCAGGCTTCTGGAAGGTTCTCCTGAGCCAGCCAAGGGGCTTCCCGGGTGACGTGCTCCTGTTCCTGGGCGGGCGCCCCTCCCACAGGCTGCTGCAGGTCCCGGGCTGAGCCCATGGCTGCATGCTCTTGGCCTTCCCTGCAGCCCCTCCCTCGCTGCCCCCACACTGCTTCCCATCCTTTCGCACCTCGTTTTTCTCTGTTACTCCTTTCTCCCTGTGCCCGCCTCAGTCTCCACTTGTCCAGCTGCCTTCGTGGAGCCACAGGTGGTGGGGAGGTTTGGTGGCCCCAGGGGGCCAAGGCACCCTCAGACACTTCCAGGCTGTGGGGGCAGAAGAGGCAACAGTAAGCAGGGCGGGCCCCGTGTCCACCAGGTGTGGAGGGAGCAGTGCTGGACAGACGGACATCTGGTGGCAGCAGGTGTGCAGTCGGGACAGAGCGCCGCCCCGAATCTGGACAGTTTGCGGGCCCTGGAGAGGGCTTCAGATTGGAGAGGGTTCCAGGACAGCCCGAGAAACATTGGGTCCTGCTTCTCCACCACAGAGGGGAGCTGGGCCTGGCCACGTGACCTGTTGGCTGCCCGCCAGAATCTACAAGACTCCCAAGGGCCACTTTAGGGTCTGGGGTCTCACTGCCCCAGGAGACGCAGCTCAGAACTGAGCAGCTGTGCCGGGTCAGGGTCTGGTTCCCATGCAGCAGTGGGCTGGGGGGCTGGAGCTGCAACTTGATGGAGATCTGAGGCCCCCCTCTACCACCAGTGGGCCGGGACATGCCCCGACCCAGGGCAGCTGTTCATCCCGGTGCCGCTTCAATGCCACCTTTTGCACAGCGGAGGCCAAGAGCCCTTGCCAAGGTTCAGGTCAGTAAGTGGATAAGTCTGGTGGAGGCCTGAGCCCTGGGAAGCAGCATCTTTGAGGACTTGCCCAGCTGTGTGGCTCCCATGCCCGAGAACAGAGTCTGCCAAGGTGCGCACACCCACAGACGTGTGTGTGTGTACGTGTGTGTACGTGTGTGTGTACGTGTGTGCGTGTGTGTGTGTGCGCGCATGTGTGTGTGTGTACGTGTGTGTGTGTGTGTGTGTGTGTGTGTAGCCACTCATCCCAGACATGTAGCACAGTCAGACCTTGTGTGTACACCCATAGTCACGTGCATATGCCCAGAGACAGGTTTGCACAGACACACCCCGTGAGTCACACACAGTCCCTCCCCTGCCTCTGTGCAAGTGTGAGTGTGTGCAAGTGTGAGTGTGTGCAAGTGTGAGGTGCACCCCACATCTCGAGTCTGGACCACTAGTGATTGCAGCCAGGGTGGGGGAAGCATCACTGGGTTGTATCTGGGGGTTGAGCCTGCAAACACCTGCACACCCAGCATGCACCTGCCTGTCTCCCAGCCACATCTGCACACTGGGGTGGCATGTGGCTGGGCCTCTAGCCCCTGCCACAGCAGCTTCTGGTCTCCTGGTGCGGGCGGAGGTCCCAGAGTGGCCTCTCACCCCAGGCAGAGCCTGGTCTCCCCACCCCGTCCCTCATTCCTCTTTCTGGGCAGCCAAATGGTCAGATGCTACACCCCTGCCTCCAAGCAGGCTGCACCTCCCCTCTGCATCCACGCAGGAACCTGTGCAGGGCGGCTTCCTCCCCGCGCTTTCCCGGAATGAGGAATGTGGGGCAGGGCCAGCAGGGGGGCTGCTCCTCCTTCCTGCCTCCCCTCCCGTCCTGCACAGCTCCCTTGGGAGCCTGGCTCGTGGGAAGTGTGCTTGGGACCGCCCATCACTCCGTTCCCAGCCACTCCTGGTGTCCCCCGCCTGGGCGGGCCCTGTGGGGAGCGGGGAAGGTGTGGAGCGGAAGCCAGTGCCGAGGGAAGAGGGGAGCCTGAGTGGGTGTGGGTCGGGGGTGGGAGCTGACGCAGGCGGCGGGTGCAGCCGCCAGACTCGGAGCCGGGGAGGCCCATGCCAGCAGCCCGGCAGCTGGGCTTCCGGAAGCAGCGGGAGCCGGGAGCCTGGGAAGGGCCTCGCTGCTTCTCTGGAGCTGCCGCCATCTCAACGAGGCTCTTTTTTTTTTTTTTTTTTACTTAACCCATTTCACAGTTTCCAGAAAAGGAGGATGCTGTCTCGGCGGCTCACTTAACTCAAAACAAATGCTCGCTCTGCCGGCTCCGCGCCCGCCTCTCCCGGCTCCCGGGCCCTGCCGTCCTCTTGTTCCGTCTGCCTTCAGTCTGGTGCCACAGGGCGGAGCAGGGTCAGCCTGGCAGGAGAGTGGGGTGGGGCACAGTGGGCACCTGGCCATCCGATTGCCCAGGCCCAGCCTCTGCTGTGTGGGTCCTCGGGACCCTGGATGGGGGCTGCTGGCACGGCTGCTGGACCGACCCTTACAGAGGGAGTGGCTCTCCGGGGAGTCCTGGGCTCCAGGGCCCCAGCATGCTCTGTACCCCTCAGGCTGCCCAGCATGTGTTGCCCTTCTTAGCCATCCATGGCAAGGAGCCTGGAAGACAGGTTGGCAGGAGGCAGGCTAGTTCCCATCGGCTGTCCTGGCCACTTAGGGCCACCTCTGCTGTAAGCCCATGTGGCCAGCTCTCACCTACTGTGTGCCGGCCTCCCCACACAGCACCCCTGGGCCGGGGCCAGGCTCACTGGGCACCGAGACTCCAGCCCAGCTGTTGTGCAGCTGTTCCCCAGTCTTCCCGCTGCTGGGCCACCCTGGGACAGCAGGTCCAGGCACAGCCTGCCTCCTGGTCTAGTTGGCTGGACCTTGGGCTCCGGGTCAGACTGGCCTCCCAGGGATGGGGCTGTGCCCGAGGACCTGAGCCACCTGGGGGTGGCCACAGCCCTCCTGGTGTTGCTGTCTCCCGAAACCATTTCCTCAGCTAGCCGGCCGCCCAAGCCAGGCCTCTACAGCATCTTGGGCAGAGCTGAGGTGGCCCTGGAGCTGGGGCCAGAGCCCGGTCTGGATCTAGAGCTGCAAACCCGGCCTGGGCCGGCTGGGCAGTGGGGGCAGCCGACTGGAGGCCAGTGTGCAGTCCTCGGTGGCCCCGCTGACACCGCATCCCGCTTACTGTCCCTTCCCCAGGAACATCCTAAACTCATGCTGCCTCCTGTGATGAGAGCTGATGGGAAGCCTGGCAGAGCGGCCCCAGGCAGGCTCTGTGTGGGGCCAGGGTGCCCTGACCATGCACGCGGGTGGGGACAGGCCGTGTTCAGCCCCCAGCGGAGCACTTGGGGCTATGGGCCTGGACCAGCAACTTAGACTTGGTCATGCTCCATCTCTTACCAGCCCCATGGCGGGCCCACGACCGACCTTGGGAGCATGATGGCACTACGTCACATGAGTCTGAAGCCCCAGGTAGGGGAGGTGCCACTGCAGGCAGTGCCAGGATGGGGCACTTGGTCTGAGGAGGTCTAGGTCAAGACCCCCTCCCTGGCCCCCAGCTGCCTCCGCCTGGGCTGGTAACCACAGCACTTCCTTTGCCAAGAGGAAAGAGCCCTCAGCCCGGTTCCCGGCTGGCCTTGGCCCACGCGGTCTGGCCCTGGCTGGAGCCCAGGCTACACTCGGCTCCCAGGCAGCTGAGGCACAGGCTCTGTCTGGGGTTGGCCACTGGTCGGCGGGGGGGCTGGGGAGGTGGCAGCCTGGTCTGCCCACGGCTCTGCTGGCCAGTCACGGTGCCATCCCCAAACACCGGGAGGCGGGGGTGACAGTAGAGGCGTGATGCTCTGTCCTGGGGTTTCCCGGGCTCCTCGGGAGCTGAGTGGGATAGGGAGGGCCTCAGGTGGCCGGCAGTCCCGTCCCCCACACTCGCAGGGGTCACCACAGTAGTGACCACCTGGCAGGGCCTGCAGAATCTGCTTCCAAGTTTCAAGCCAAGGCCAGGACAGTGGGGGAGAAATCCACGCCTTTAGAGTAAGCATCTGAGAGCCCCCAGCCGTGTGCAGGGCCCCTGCTCACGGGGCAAGGGGGATGCCGGGCAGAGGCTCTTCCCCTGCCTGGTCCCGTCTCCGAGGTGCTGGCCTGCTGAGCAGCCAGTGAGATGCCCTGGCAGCAGCTGCCGCCAGAGCCAGGATTTCCAGAAGCAAGAGGCCACCCCAGTCCCTTGGGGGGGATGGTAGGGTCTCTCATGGTAGGCTCAGTACGCAGGATGCCTGGGCACGGAATTGGGGTGCAGCATGCGACCCCATGTGATACTGGAGAAGGGTATTTGCAGCTGTGCCCAGAAGTGGTCCCAGAACGCTCATGCGAGGGCCTCAGGGCCGGGGTCTCGGGTGACTCCGCTTCCTCTCGTGTATTTTTTTTTTTTCTTGGAGGCGGAGTCGCACTTTGTCATCCAGGCGGGAGGGCAGTGGAACAATCTCTGCTCACTGCAACCCCTGCCTCCCAGATTCAAGCAATTCTCCCGCCTCAGCCTCCCAAATAGCTGGGATTACAGGTGCGCACCACCATGCCCGGATAATTTCTGTATTTTTAGTAGAGACAGGGTTTCACCTTGTTGGCCAGGGTGGTCTTGAACTCCTCACCTCAAGTGATCCACCACCTTGGCCTCCCAAAGTGCTGGGATTACAGGCGTGAGCCACCGTGTCTGGTCTCTCTTGTGCTTTATTACCTGAGCTTATTATGGTGAAAATACAAAGACATAATGTTTGTATGACAAGGAGACAGCAATCCAGGTGGCCCGTTTCCAGAATGAAAGGGAAAAAGAAGTGAAAGAGATCCCCAGATCAGCAGCCCTGCCTGACTCTGGGCACAGACAGCACTTTGGGACCCCCAGCTTGGTGAGGCTGGTCAGGTGCAGGGAGGGGCTAGGCTAGAGCCCCCATCCCCTTCCCTCTCATTCCCCAGACTGTGGGGCCGGGGACCCTTCCTCAGTGGGCTCAGATAAGGCAGCACAGCAGGGTCCCCCAAGTCCGGAGACAGGCTGGTTGCCCACTGAGGGCCCCGTGGGACACCGGGGAGTGTCCTGCCCCCACCTGATGTGGTGTGGGAGAGCTCAAGGTACAGGGTTCTCAGGCCAGGATCCTGGAGAAATCCCTTCTCCAGACCCAACTTTTGGACTTAGTTGCTTCCCACCATCCCGAGGAGGAAAAGGCGGGAGGGACTTCCCCAGGAGGGTGTGGGGGTGGGAAGGCCTGGGGGACTCGAGGCGGGCCTGGGCGAGGCAGCGGCAAGCTTCCAACTCCGAGGGGAGCCCACACTCACCCCACAGGCATGCCCCAGTGTCCCCAAGCAGGGGAAGCCAGCACTTCCCTTCCCAACCCAGAGTCCCCTCCCTGGCTGCCGGGCCTGTGGTCTGGCCCCGGCCCATGGCAGTCCCAGCCTTGTGGTCCGGGAAGCCCCTGGCTCGCGGGCACCTTCACCCCCTGCCCTGGGCCTGGGCCTGGCCCTGCTCCACAGTCCCTTGGGCCGGCTCTTCCTCTCCACCCGCCCACCCGCCGCAGAGGCCAGCTCACAGCCCACGTCCCCCACCAGCACTCACAGACCCCTCCTCTGCTGCCATGACTGGGAGAGGCCCCTTGAGTCCACATGGCTGCGTTCGCACATGAGAGGGGAAGGGGCCTTGGGGGCCCTGGGCTGGGAACTGGCTCAGCACAGCAGGAGCCTGCCAGGGCCGTGCAGGGCAGCCCCCGCCGCCCCCCTTGCCCCACCGCCTCTGCTGAGTCACCTCATGTCTGGGAAGTTCCCAGGGCCAAGCCAGGCTGGATGAGGCATCAGAAATTCACAAATTCCCCCTGCCTCCCGGGCAGGGGAATGGCTGTCCTGACTCACCTCGGGCTGGGCCCCCGCAGACCCCACTATCCCCACGCTCAGCCTCATACCCCTCTTTCCCGAGGGGGCAGGCCCCCCGCCCCAGGTTCCTGGAATGGTCCCAGGCCAGGCTTGCTGCCCGTGGGATGGAGACGACAAGGTGCCAGGGTGCCTGGCTGGAGTGGGGGCCGCTCAGTGACAGCCTCAGACCACCCACGGAGCAGCAGGGCCACCGTGTGCAGAAATCTGTGTGTGCTGTGTCCTCCGTGTGCAGGAGCCGATAGTCATGGCAACTCTGGGAGGCTCCCTCGGGCTGGCCTTGGCCACTGGACTTGGGCAGAGGTGGGCACAGCTGAGGGGCCACAGGCAAGCATGCAGGCGGGCCGATGGTCCGGGAGAGCTGGGCTGGGCGGGGCCTGGGGCGCTGGGGGCTCACCATTTCCCACACTCAGGCTGCCAGGAGAAGTGCGGGGTATCCTGGCGGTGCCCAGGAAGGAGCCTCTCGCGGCCTCCACCTGACCCAGAGGTGAGCGCCATCCGCAGCTCTGTGCCAGCCCAGTCGGGGCCCAGCCCCAGGAATCCTGAAGGGATTTTAGAAGCAGATCCGTCCTCAGCGCCACCCTTCCTTCCTCTGTCCCCCGCCCTCAGTCTTCCCCCTGGCTCAGTTTCTCCCTCTGCTCGCCTGAGACTGGGGCACTCCTGTCTGACAAGTCAGTTTATTGGGCCTGGGTAGAGGGATGAAGACCCCACTCAGGAGAGAGAACAGCTCCTCCCAGTGCTGCCTGGAGGGGCCGAGACTGTGGGGCCCGTGGAGCTGACACAGGGCCTATGGCTGGGGCCCCGCTGACCCTGGTGCCTCATGTATCACCTTGACCTTTTTGGCAAGTTCGCCAGTGTGTGAGAGGCCTTGGAGCTGCCCACAGCTGTGGGCTGGGAGAGTCAGGGTGCTCTCCCTGTGAAGAGGAGGCCCATCCACAGACCCTGAAAGTTGATTGGGCACAGTACCCAGCACCCACCTGGGTGGTAGTGGTGGTGACAGTGATGGTGGTGGTGGCGAGTGATGTGGTTATGATGATGATTGGTGATTGATGATGATGTGGTTGGTGGGTGATGTGGTTGGTGGTGATGTGGTTGGGGGTGATAGTGGTGGGTGATGTGGTTGGGGGTGATAGTGGTGGGTGATGTGGTTGGTGGTTATGTGGTTGGTGGTGATGTGGTTGGGGGTGATAGTGGTGGGTAATGTGGTTGGTGATGATAGTGGTGGGTGATGTGGTTGGTGGTGATGTGGTTGGTGGTGGTGGTGGTGGGTGGTGGTGGTGGTGGTGATGTGGTTGGTGGTGATGTGGTTGGTGGTGGTGGTGGTGGGTGATGTGGTTGGGGGTGATAGTGGTGGGTGATGTGGTTGGTGGTTATGTGGTTGGTGGTGATGTGGTTGGTGGTGATGGTGGGTGATGTGGTTGGTGGTGGTGGGTGATGTGGTTTGTGGTGATAGTGCTGGGTGATATGGTTGGTGATGATGATGTGGTTGGTGACAGGTGATGTGGTTGGTGGTGACGATGATGGTAGGTGATGTGGTAGTAATGTGGTTGGTGGTGATGTGGTTGGTGTGATGGTGGTTGGTGCTGATAGTGGTGGGTGATGTGGTTGGCATGATGTGGTTGGTGTGATGTGGTTGGTGGTGATAGTGATGGGTGATGTGGTTGGTGATGATGTGGTTGGGGGTGATAGTGGTGGGTGATGTGGTTGGTGGTGATGTGGTTGGTGGGTGATGTGGTTGGTGGTGATAGTGGTGGGTGATGTGGTTGGGGTGATAGTGGTGGGTGATGTGGTTGGGGTGATGGTGGGTGTTGTGGTTGGTGGTGATAGTGGTGGTGATGTGGTTGGTGATGATGGTGGGTGATGTGGTTGGGGTCCGAGACTGTGGGGCCCGTGGAGCTGACACAGGGCCTATGGCTGGGGCCCCGCTGACCCTGGTGCCTCATGTATCACCTTGACCTTTTTGGCAAGTTCGCCAGTGTGTGAGAGGCCTTGGAGCTGCCCACAGCTGTGGGCTGGGAGAGTCAGGGTGCTCTCCCTGTGAAGAGGAGGCCCATCCACAGACCCTGAAAGTTGATTGGGCACAGTACCCAGCACCCACCTGGGTGGTAGTGGTGGTGACAGTGATGGTGGTGGTGGCGAGTGATGTGGTTATTGATGATGATTGGTGATTGATGATGATATGGTTGTTGTGGTTGGTGATGGTGGTGGTGGTGTGGTTGTTGTTGAATGTGGTTGGTAATGGTGGTGGATGATGTGGTTGGTGGTAATGGTAGTGGTGATGTGGTTGGGGGCATGGTGGTGGAGGTGATGTGGTTGGTGATGATAATGTGGTTGGTGTTGTGTGGTGGTGGTGATGGTGATGTAGTTGGGGTGGTGTTGATGTGGTTGGTGGTGGTGGGTGATGTGGTTTGTGGTGATAGTGCTGGGTGATATGGTTGGTGATGATGATGTGGTTGGTGACAGGTGATGTGGTTGGTGGTGATGATGATGGTAGGTGATGTGGTAGTAATGTGGTTGGTGGTGATGTGGTTGGTGTGATGTGGTTGGTGCTGATAGTGGTGGGTGATGTGGTTGGCATGATGTGGTTGGTGTGATGTGGTTGGTGGTGATAGTGATGGGTGATGTGGTTGGTGATGATGTGGTTGGGGGTGATAGTGGTGGGTGATGTGGTTGGTGGTGATGTGGTTGGTGGGTGATGTGGTTGGTGGTGATAGTGGTGGGTGATGTGGTTGGGGGTGATAGTGGTGGGTGATGTGGTTGGGGGTGATGGTGGGTGTTGTGGTTGGTGGTGATAGTGGTGGGTGATGTGGTTGGTGATGATGGTGGGTGATGTGGTTGGGGGTGATGTGGTTGGTGGTGATGTGGTTGGGGGTGATAGTGGTGATGATGTGGTTGGGGGTGATAGTGTGGGTGTGGTGGGTGTGTAGTTGGGGGTGATAGTGGTGGGTGATGTGGTTGGGGGTGATAGTGGTGGGTGATGTGGTTGGTGGTGATAGTGGTGGGTGATGTGGTTGGTGGTGTGGTTGGTGGTGATAGTGGTGGGTGATGTGGTTGGTGGGTGATGTGGTTGGTGGTGATGTGGTTGGGGGTGATAGTGGTGGGTGATGTGGTTGGTGTGATGTGGTTGGTGGGTGATGTGGTTGGGGGTGATAGTGGTGGGTGATGTGGTTGGTGTGATGTGGTTGGTGGGTGATGTGGTTGGTGGTGATGTGGTTGGGGGTGATAGTGGTGGGTGATGTGGTTGGGGGTGATAGTGGTGGGTGATGTGGTTGGTGGTTATGTGGTTGGTGGTGATGTGGTTGGTGGTGATGGTGGGTGATGTGGTTGGTGGCGATGTGGTTGGTGGTGATAGTGGTGGGTGATGTGGTTGGTGGTGATGTGGTTGGTGTGATGTGGTTGGTGGTGATGTGGTTGGTGATGATGTGGTTGAGGGTGATGGTGGGTCGTGGTGGTGGTGGGTAATGTGGTTGGTGATTTGGTGATGATGTGGTTGGTGGTGGTGGTGGGTGATGTGGTTGGTGGTGATGTGGTTGGTGGGTGATGTCATTGGTGATGTGGTTGGTGCATGATGTGATTGGTGATGTGGTTGGTGGTGATGTGGTTGGTGGTGATAGTGGTGGGTGTGGTTGGTGATGATGTGGTTGGGGGTGATGGTGGGTGATGTGGTTGGTGGTGATGTGGCTCGTGGTGGTGGTGGTGGGTGATGTGGTTGGTGGTGATGTGGTTGGTGGTGATAATTGTGGGTAATGTGGTTGGTGGTGATGTGGTTGGTGATGATGTGGTTGGTGGTGATAGTGGTGGGTGATGTGGTTGGTGGTAATAGTCGTGGGTGATGTGGTTGGGGGTGATTGTGGTGGGTGATGTGGTTGGGGGTGATAGTGGTGGGTGATGTGGTTGGTGGTGATAGTCGTGGGTGATGTGGTTGGGGGTGATAGTGGTGGGTGATGTGGTTGGTGGTGATAGTCGTGGGTGATGTGGTTGGGGTGATAGTGGTGGGTGATGTGGTTGGTGGTGATAGTGGTGGGTGATGCGGTTGGGGGTGATAGTGGTGGGTGATGTGGTTGGTGTGATGTGGTTGGTGGTGATAGTGGTGGGTGATGTGGTTGGGGGTGATAGTGGTGGGTGATGTGGTTGGTGGTAATGTGGTTGGTGGTGATGTGGTTGGGGGTGATTGTGGTGGGTGATGTGGTTGGTGGTGATAGTGGTGGGTGATGTGGTTGGTGGTGATAGTCGTGGGTGATGTGGTTGGGGTGATAGTGGTGGGTGATGTGGTTGGTGGTGATAGTCGTGGGTGATGTGGTTGGGGGTGATAGTGGTGGGTGATGTGGTTGGTGGTGATAGTCGTGGGTGATGTGGTTGGGGGTGATAGTGGTGGGTGATGTGGTTGGGGGTGATGTGGGTGATGTGGTTGGGGGTGATAGTGGTGGGTGATATGGCTCGTGGTGGTGGTGGTGGTGATGTGCTTGTGACAAAGATGTCGTTCTTGGGTTTGCAACAGCAGGAGAGTGTCAGTACCAGGACACCTGGGGCACCAAAAGACTCAGGACTCTGAGTGTGGCAGTCAAAGGCATATGGGGGTAACCTTTCCCATCATCGGTTTCTTGGATATTGAAAGTCAAAGGCTCTGGGGGAGATTGGGGCCTGAGAGTCCCCTGTGGAGAAGGGCTGTGGTGTTGCCCCTGCCCTGCCTCAGGCCACACCCTGGGAGCTGCCCCCAGAGTCACTCTTGCCCTGTGTCCACAGCCAGCAGCCGCCTGATGGGAAGTTCTCCGGCCTCCTCGTTCATGGGCAGTTTCCTCACCAGCAGCCTGGGCTCGGCAGCCTCCACGCACCCCAGCGGCCCCAGCTCCTCCCCCCCTGAGCAGGCCTACCGTGGCTCCCACCCCACCACCTCCCAGATCTGGTTCTCCCACTCCCACGAAGGTAAGTTGGCGGACTGGGCTCCCAGCGACACCCTGGTGGCCAAGAGACTGACCCTGGTGCCCGGGCCAGGGGCAGGTGAGGGGCTCCCATCGTGGCCGTGGGAACCTGGCCGGTGGACGGTGACAAGCAGGCTCGGGTGAGGCTGCCTCCCTGCCGAGGAAGCCCCGGGGGAAGTGGTGATTGGTTGGAAACAAGGGCAGCCTGTTCGGCAGTGGTCCTGGCCAGATGTGTGCTCCAGATGGGCAGCAAGGGGAAACAGGGGGGCCAGGAGGGGCTCTGGGGAGCTGAGAAAATGTGGAGCACAGCTGGGCCGGCCGGGCTGGGCTCACCCTCACAGTGGCCGTGCCCCACCTCCCCAGACGCTAGGAGGCGGGCTCCAAATGTGCCAGCTGGAGGAGGGGGCCGGGGCGGGGAGAGCTGTCAGCGCACACAGGCTGCCACCCAGGGGCCTGTCCCAGGACAAAGAGTTCCTCCCAGGCCACCTGCCTCCCCGTGGGACACAGCCCTGGACACACAGTAGGTGCCTCGCGAATACTGGCTACTCTCAGGCTGCCTGGCCAGCAGGAGACTCCTGGAGGCCCCCCTGGCCTTTCCGTGGCAGGGCACCCCTGCCTGGATCCCCGTGCTTGCTCAGACCCCTTGCCCTGCAGCCTAGGAGGCGGCCCTGGGCCCCCATGTCCTTGGGCCCACAGTTGCTGGTATTCCCTCGGCCACCCCAACCCTACAGCGTGGGAAGGGTTAAGCTCCCCCCGCCCCCCGCGGCTGGCACGCAGAGAGGTAATTGCAGTTGGCAGCGGGCACACAGGGCTCTCCGCTCCTGGCACCCAGCACTGCCGTAACTCAATGACTGCTGAGCGGCGGGCGTCGTGTTTACAGAGCGCCGCGGACCCACACACCACGCCACCGCCCCGTTCCAGGCAGGGAGATTAGCACCCGGCACTGCTGGAAGCAGAGAAACCTCTCTTTGTGCAACAAGAAAGGGGCTGTTTTCCAAACAGAACAGGTGACGAGTGAGGGACAGTTGCTGAAATAATCTGGGCTTTCGGCTCAGGGCGCACATGTTGGGCAGGCGATAAGGAGTGGCCTCTTCCTGGGTGCAGGGGAGGCCGCTACCTTGGGATGCGGTGGGCAGCATGGGGTCCTCGGTCCAGACTCCCCTGCCCAGACTCCCCTGCCCCTTCCTCCCACCCCTGCACTACTAGCGGCCTCCTGGAGGGGAGACCAGGCTGGCCATGGCTCCTGGGCTGGCTGTGGGGGCCCCGCCTTCCTGGCTCATATGCCCCACCCCGCCTCAGCCTTTTGTGTCTGTGGGCAAACGCCCCGGCCAGCCACAGCATCTGGCTCCCAGGATGTCTGTGGGAGGGAGGAGGGTGGCCTGGCACCGGGGGAGCAGGAAGGGGAGGCCTGCGGCAGCCGTGGTGAACCCCCCACAACAGACGCAACGGCCGCTGCCTGGTCCTGGCCCAGCCACAGGTGCACAGATCCACCTAGGACCACTGACTTGGTTTCCCCTCCTGGCAGTGGTGGCCCCTAGTCAGGGCCCAGAAGTGGCACCAGCCCATCCCCAATGCTCTCTGCACCAGGAGAGAGCTCCTACCCCACTCCCTCCACCCACCCTGGGGGACCCCAGCAGCAAGGAGGGCCGTTTGTGGGTAGCACCACCTGCCTTGGAGCCCCCGTCCCGCCCCTCTGGGGGCTGCTCAGAGGGTGGGTGTGTGGTGGCCCACAGGCAGACAGCACCCACAACGGCCTCTAGACACTCACTTCCCCTTGTGCCAACGGCTGCCTGGGCGGAGCTGCCCACATCCCACCCCGGGGACCCCCACCACTTCTCAGCCCCTCACATGGGGCCCGGCATCGGTGGGTTCCATCTGCTCCCGAGCCCTTGGGAGTCCCCCTGGCTGGGTGGGAAGCCAATGTCCTGCCACAAGTGTCGACGTGAGCCCCTGGCGTCTGGGCCTCTGAGCCCCTTCTATCTGCGTCCCAGGGAAGTAGCTCCTCCAGGCGGGGGTGGCCTGAGCCGGAGGAGAGGACAGTGCCCACAGTGGCCCTGGCTGTGTCACACCGAGGAGGTTCACCTGTCCACCCTGCTGGGCACCTGGCACCCTGGCTGGGCGAGACGCATCTCCCGCTGTCCGTGTCAGGTGGGGGTGGGCACGTGTGCGGGACAGTGGGCTGGGTGGACCAGCACGGGTGGAGGCGGGACAAGGGGGTGCAGGGCGTGGCCTCTGAGCCGCCCGCCTGGGCCCCAGAATGCAAGGCCCACCCGGGGCTGAGGATGGGTGTGGGTGCCCCCCGAGGGTGGCAGAGCCTCCAAGGCCACACACCTGCGAGGCCCGTGCTCCAGCTTGCTGTCCCCTGCTCTGCCTTCAGTTCAGTTGTCCCACCCCCCGGGATCCCCTCCCCTCCCTGCGGGGGTTCCCTGCCACGCAGCCGTGCTCCCCGACAGACCACATGGAGCTGCCGCGCTGTGAGCTGAGCGGCAGAGGCCAGGGCCGGCGGGCCAGGGTGAGAGGCTGGCTGGCTGCCCGGGCAGCATGCCTGGCTGCTAGTTTGACAGGGTGCCAGCTGGCTCCCCGTGCGCCGGGCCTGTTTCTCTGCCGTGTGTGTTCATGGGGGAAGGGGAGTGAGGTGGGTGGGGGGCACGCGACTCGGCCGGAGAGTGGGGGCCAGCAGGCACAGCGGGCTGCCTGGGCGGTTGGCCTTGCCCACGTTTCCTCCTAGTGGCCCAGGATGGGCAGGAGGCAGGTGCCTGGCCAAGCCAGCTTGCCACCCCCTCCCCAGCCCAGGGCTTTCGTTGAGGGTAGGTAGGCCAGGGTGGGGCAGGCCACCAGGAACCCAGGTTGGGGTAGCCCCAGGAACCCCCCATGCCAAGCGGGGCCTCCTCTCTCCCCATCTGCAGGGCAGCCCCTCGAGCGGGCCAGGGCTTCCTGCTTCCCCGGGGGAGCAGCTGGGGGTGCAGCAGAGGCAGCCCGGAGCTGGAGGAGCCGCCCGGAACATCTGGCCTGGGCAGAGCCTGTCTGTTCAGCTCCTCCCGGCCCGCAGCTTACCCGAGGCTCGCGCTCCCACCAGCGGTGGGCCTCTCTGGGGCTTGGGGTGGGGGCGGGAGGCGGAACTGGCCAGGGGCAGAGGTGAGCTCCTGCTGGGCAGCCTGTCCTGGGTGGATGAGGATGAGAGCAGGGGTGGGGGCACACACAGCTGGCCCTATTGTCAGCAGGCCTGGTCCCCTCCCTCCCCACCGCGCCCCCCAGCTGCCTGGCCAGGACCACCCACAGGGCCAATGAAAGAGGATTCTGTTCCTGGGGGGCTCAGCTGGGAAGGGGTGGGGGCAGGGGCTGCTGAGATCCCCACTGAGGCCACTCGTGGTCTCTTGTGCCACCTGGGGGGAGCCATGGGGGCGGCAGGCACACACACGCGCTGGCTCTCCGCCTGGCCGGCCTCTTGGTCAGAACCACGCCCCACCAGCGGCCACTTCTCACTGGGCCTGGCCAGCTCCTGGGGGTCCGGGGCTACGCATGCCGAGCACTCCCTGCCAACGGAGCCCCGCAGCTTCCTGCATCCTGCCAGCTGCTCCTCTGTCCCCTTCGTCCCCTCTGAGGTCTCAGGACTCGCTGGTGCTGCTGGGAGTGAGCAGGAGCTGGGACCACATCTGTTTAAGGGACAGAGGTCCCACCAGCGCCCACCCACCCCGAGTGTCCTCAGAGGTACTGGGGCCCCAGCTCCATCCTTCCTGTGATGCCTGCCAGGGACCTGCTGCTTCCTCCCAGACCCCTTCAGCTCCTCCTTCCTCTCCCGGCCTCGGTTTCCTCGGTGGCTAAAACAGCTTCTTGGTCTGTCTCCCACAGGCCCGCTGACCACCCCAGCACTGACGTTTCTACCACATCTATGTGGGGGGTGTGGCCCTTGCCCTGCCTAGACCTGCTGTCCCTGCCCATGTGCGAGGGAGAGTTGGGCCAGTGGGGACAAGCTGGCTCCGCTGGGATGCGAGGGACA
This sequence comes from Homo sapiens, assembly GCF_000001405.40. Taxonomy (NCBI): domain Eukaryota; kingdom Metazoa; phylum Chordata; class Mammalia; order Primates; family Hominidae; genus Homo; species Homo sapiens. The sequence continues at coordinate 87,092 of NW_025791805.1, forward strand.
GCGTGGGGGTCCCGGCGTGGGGGTGGAGGGGACAGCGTGGGGGTCTCGGCGTGGGGGTGGAGGGGACAGCGTGGGGGTCCCGGCGTGGGGGTGGAGGGGACAGCGTGGGGATCCCAGCGTGGGGGTGGAGGGGCTCTGCTGGGCCGGCTACCTCCCGCCAGCTTCTCTCAGCCAGAGGGCGGCTGCCCCATCCAGGCCTATGATCCCCCCTCCGGAGGTGTCCTATGGCTTTCGGGAGCCAGCCCTCCCATACCCTCGGCCCCTCACCGTGGCCTGCCCTGGCCGGCCACCCTGCCAGGGTCCCAGCCTCCTGTCCCCACTGGAGTCTGCCCTCAGGCCCTGGCAGTTCCCAACCCCCAGCCCGCTGAGACTTTATGCATAGCCTCATGTTCACGGCCTGGCTGAGTGCTGCCAGTCACTGTTGAGTGCAGGGGTTTCATCCCGTGGCCATGGTGACCAGCACCCAGGTCCACACCTGGCAGAGGGCTGTATGGAGGTGGCTAGGGGAGACACAGACTTGGGGAAGCCAGGATAGGGACATCCCAGGTGGCAGAACCTGAGCCCCAGGGAGGTTGGGGAGAGGGCCACCCCTGGTTTGGATAAAGGGCCTGGTCCCTGCAGCTTCAGGGTTCCCAGGACCAGCCCTGGCTTGAGGTTGGGCAGGATGACTGCACTTCTGTTATGAGCCTGGCCCTGGGATGGCACCTGCCTCCCCCTGGCAATGCTGCACAGCACAGTGGTGCTTGCGCCCATTTTACAGCTGAGGAAACTGAGGCTGAGGATTGTGTGTGACTGAGAGCCTGTCCCCTCATCCCCTCCCTGCCCTCTGACCTGCCGTGCTTTGGAGTAGGTGTACCCTCTGCCCCGCAAGCTCCTGCTCTCCAGGAGCCAGGGACTTAGCCAGGGACTTGGGCTAGAGGCTGCTCTGGGACCCAGGAGGCTGCACCCGAGCCCCTGCGCACACCCAGGCACCGCAGGACAGGGCAGGACTGTGGCAGATGCGGCATGGGCCCCTGCTATGTGCAGGGCAGGTGGGCAGGGCAGGGGTCGTCACAGACCCAGAGCTGTCTTAGCTTCGAGTTCATATGCCCAGCCTCAGTTTCTCTATCTGCCACACCCATGAGAACAGCTGTCCAGACCCCATGTGATACAGACACAAAGAGCAACTTCCCTCCCGTGTCCTGCAGCGGCTGTCCACTGCTGGGGCCAGTGGCCTTGGTCACTGGGGATGGGGTGCGGCCTTCCTAGGCTGACATCCCTGGATCTGACCGATGGTGCAGCCGCCCCGGCAGGTGCACCGTCTCCTGTGTGCCTGTGTGTGGGGCTGGCTGGTGTCATGCCTGTGGCCCCGGTACAATGACCTATGTGTCAAGGACGCTGCCTGGGGAACGTGAGGAAGGTCCTGGTGGACAGGCGGAAGGGAGTTCCCTGGTAGCCAGAGCTGATGTCCAGGGTGCCGGCGAAGGTTTTGGGGGTCGTGTGGTTGCTTCTAGCTCCACGCTCCGAGAACTGTCCATTGCCCCCTGTGGCTTGAGGGCGGCCCCAGCCTCGGACCCACCCTCCCACCCATCACCAGGCCCACCCTCCCTCCCATCGCCGGGCCCACCCTCCCCTCCAGCCCTGGACCCAACCTCCGTCCCCAGCCCTGGACCCACCCTCCCGGGCCCACCTGTTCCCCTGAGCCCCAGACCCCATCCCTCCCATCCCCGGGCCCACCCTCCCCCGCATCCCCAGGCCCACCCTCCCCGCCATCCCCAGGCCCACCCTCCCCCCCATCCCCAGACCCACCCTCCCCCCGAGCCCCAGACCCACCCTCCCTCCCATCCCCAGGCCCACCCTCCCCCCACATCCCCAGGCCCACCCTCCGCCCCATCCCCAGGCCCACCCTCCCCCCCCATCCCCACGGCCCACCCTCCCCCCACCACTCCCCACGGCCCACCCTCCGCCCCCACTCCCCCACGGCCCACCTCCCCCCCCACTCCCCACGGCCCACCCTTCCCCCCATCCCCACGGCCCAACCTCCCCCCCCATCCCCAGGCCCACCCGTCCCCCCATCCCCAGGAAGGCTGCGCTCCTCCCTGTGGGGTTGGTGCCTGGATCCTGGGCAGGCTGCCCACTGCGTTCATTCTGGAGGCTCCCATGGGAACCTGGCACCTGCTCCCGCTCTTAGCTACCTTGCTCAGCCTGGGAACAGATGGAGCTGGCCCGGCCCGCCCCTGAGGCAGCTGTGGGTCACCACTTGGGCCAGTTCCCTGCAGGCCTGTGGATGGGGAAGAGGCTGAGCTTCTGAAGCCTCAGGGGGCCCCAAGGATTGGGCACTCCAGCTCCAAGAACGAATCTCTTGCTGTGCCGCCCCGCAACCACTCATGTCCTGGGAGCTGCACTTTGAAACACAGCCTGGACACCCGGGGGCCTGCCCACCTGGGGTGAGGGGCCGTGTGTGGGAGCAGGGGTGTATGGCAGAGAGCAGACAGGACTAGGGAAGGGGCCGCTGCAAGGCTGTAGGCCCTTCCGGCCCTAGAGTGGGAGTGGGAACTGCCCATAGCTGCAGTCACTGCTGAGGCCCCTCCTGTGCCCAGGGCTGGAGTCATCAGTCCACCGAGGCCCCTCCTGTGCCCAGGGCAGGAGTCATCAGTCCACCGAGGTCCCTGTGTGCCCAGGGCAGGTGTCATCAGTCCACCGAGGCCCCTCCTGTGCTTAGGGCAGGTGTCATCAGTCCACCGAGGTCCCCGTGTGCTCAGGGCAGGTGTCATCAGTCCACCAAGGCCCCTCCTGTGCCCAGGGCAGGAGTCATCAGTCCACCGAGGCCCCTGTGTGCCCCGGGCAGGTGTCATCAGTCCACCGAGGCCCCTCCTGTGCCCCGGGCAGGTGTCGTCAGTCCACCGAGGTCCCCGTGTGCTCAGGGCAGCCATCATCCGTCAACTACAGCACTTTGTGTGCCGCATGCGGACAGGGTTTCAGAATCTGTGTCAGCCCAGCACTCGGGGCCTGGCGGTCATCGGGTAGACCCGTGCACTGCACCTGAAACCCACTGACACCCTGAGTGACGGGGGTGTCCCGTGAAGAGCCAGTGCTGAGTTGCGGGCGGGTGGAGGCCAGGCTGAGCCTCGTGCGTGTGGCTGCACGGCAGGGACGTCCTGCGTGACAGGGACGATGTGCAGAACCTCAAGAGGAGCAGGGACCACTTGCCAGGCCAGGGGTCTCCCGGGACTCCCCTGGGGTCACTGTGGGGGGAGTAACAGGGGATCTGGCAGAGTTGGCAGGAGGTGGGGGAGGGGTGTCTGCTTCTGAGCCAGGAGGATGGGCCCTCGCTGGACAGTGGGTATTTGAGACAGTGCCCACAGCCTCCCACGTTCCCCAGGGCCTCCCAGGCTGGCTGCCCACGTGCACATTCCAGGCTCGGGGCCACGCCCAGCTGACTGCATGACCCACTGCCCGCCCAGCCAGGCGCATGTGGGAGCCGAGGTGGTACTGCAGTGGGAGACAGGTCGAGGCTCAGCCGTGGGAGGCCAGCGTGGCAGACCTTCCCCCAGGGAGGAGGCACTGCCGTTTGTCAGGATGGTGGGGTGTCCGCTGTAGAAGGTTTTGTCCTCAAAGGCGTGCGGGCTGGGGCAGGGCGCTCGAGGTGTGCTTCAGCACCCCCAGAAGTTTGCTGAGCCTGCAGCATCCTGGCCCTGAGCTCTGTGGCCCCAAGTGGGGCTTCCTGGGTGACCCTGCAGTGGGAAGTCCCCTGACCCCCCAGGTGATCTTGGTCCTTCTGCTGGCTGGCGTCCCTCCCTCCTAGACCTGGCCGTGAAGATACCCCAAGTTCAGCATCCTGAGAGACCCAGGAGCAGCCCCTGGTTTTCCACGGCAGGGATGCTCCCTGGAAGGGCAGCCTGGGGGGTGGGTTGTGGCCACCTCCCCAGATCTGGCAAGAGGAGGAAGGCGCAGGGCTGGCCTGGAGAGGGCAGGGCCTCGACGTGCGGGGCTGTTGGGAAAATGTGCTGTGTCAGAACGCAGGAGGGATGAGGGGGATGAGGTACCTGGAGTGGGGGTGCCCGTCAGGCAGCCAGGGCTGGTGCACCCTGGGTGGGGGCTCCTCCTCCCTCCCCAGGGGTGAGAAGCCACCAGGCCTCCCTTCTCCAGGTGGGCAGGAGGAAAGGAAGGGTCCCCTCACCCCTGGCCGTCCCCAGCCCCCATTTCTCTGCACGGTGCCCTCCCACTCCTCTGTCCTTCAGCCCTGCCCCAGGGGCACCCCCGACCCCCACTGACTGCCCACTCTCTCTCCTCCTGCCCACACCACAGGCCTCCTACCTGCAACCCTTGACCTCCCCAGACGTGGTGAGCTCAGGCCTGGGGGTGGTTGGGAGGGGTCTGGGGGTGTGGCCATTGTGTCCCCCGCCCAGCCCACGCGTGGCCCCCTGGCTTTACTAACCCATCAGGTGCCTGTGGCTTTGAGCCTCTGTCTCCTGCAGTCTGTCCCATCACAGGACTGAGTTTGGAGTCTCCTGCCCACCGCAGTAGCAGGGGCAGGATGTGGGGACCTCGGTGCGACCCCCACTGCCCCCAGGGCTCTTCCCCACGCTCCACCAGGCTCCGAGGGCACCAGCAGCCTGTGTCCTGACCACCTCTCTGGCGGTTCGCTTAGCCCAGGGCTTGCCCTTGTCTGTTGGGGTGATCATAAAAGCTCCCGTCTCAAAGGGGTCTGGGAAGGGGAGGTTCTGGAGCCCCGACGTTCTAGCAGGAGCTTGCAGTTGAGGACCTCTGGCTCTGGGTTCATATGGCCCCAGACCCTGCTGGCTGAGCCCTCTTGGTCTCTGGCCCCGGAATGTCCCCTCCCTGCCATCTGGGGCCTCTACTGTCCCCCTGGAGCCCTCCCCAGGACCACCACCCCCACTCCTCAGTGGCAACCCCTTCCAGGATGCCTGTGTGTCCCCGGCCCGGCCGCAGCAGCCCTGCCTTCCCCCACTCCTCAGTGGCAGCCCCTTCCAGGATGCCTGTGTGTCCCCGGCCCAGCCACAGCAGCCCTGCCTTCTGGCTTCTGGCCTCAGAACAGCTGCTCTGATTCATAAAAATCATTTTTAAATTTTCTTTCTCAGTTTTGAGAGTATGGTCTTATTGGGAAAAAGAAAGGGGCTTTCTGTCGCTGGGCTGGGAGGACCTTTTCCCTTCCTTTCTCTGCCCCCTGCCCAAAGATGACCCCACCCTGCCGACTGGGCCTCTCCGGCACCCAGCCCCTCCCTCTCTGCTCCCCGCCCCTCCATCCCATCTCCCCACTCCCTCCTCCTTCCCTGGCTCCCTAACTTCCCCTCTGGGTCCTCAGAGGTGGGGACCCAAGCAGGCAAGGATGGGGGCACCAGCCAGGCCTTTGGTCTTCGGGCCCTGGCCAGTGCTGCCCTGCTCACCAGCCCAGGGGCCACCAGCCAAGGCCCAGCAGCTGAGGGACACGCATAGCTGCCCACCCGCAGCTGCCCCCAGAGGGGACCGGCGGGAAGGAGCCCACTCCTCTGCCAGCTGACTGCCTGCTCCCCGCAGAGAGCGGATGGGCTGGAGGCCTGGACCTCTGGAGGGGGGACCGGGGCTCCGTGCCTGGGAAACGGTGTCTGGGAAGGAGGAATTTACAGACTTCTGTTTACCAAAATGAGGCCTCGTAAAACATTTAACAGCAGCCAATTAAAGGGGGACAGCTGTGGAGGTTTAACAGTACCCCCCAAGGCCCTGCCCCTTGCCCTGCCACTCCCCTACCCCCGCCCCAGGTCGCTCCCACCCCGTCCCTCTCAGCTTTGGTCGAATCTTCCAGGATTGGAGTTTAATCTGGTAAACAGCTGCTCCAGATGCAGCTCCCACACAGACCAGGCCAGTCGGCCAGGCTCGAGCCTCAGCCCCGTGTCCTCAGCTGGAGGGCAGCTGCAGGGCTGCACCAGGGCCAGGGCGCCCTCCCCAGGTTCCCAGACTTGGCCTGGGATGTGCGGCCTCACAGGGAGATGGGGCTTCACCCTGTCAAGCAGGCCTCCGTGTCGCAGGACTTCCCAGGGCCTTCCCTGTGCTCACGCCCTACACGACTCCAAATGGGACGTGTGTGGGGTGCATTCTTGGAGCTGGTGACCCAGAGCTTGGGTTTCCTGGAGCATCTCCTGGGGCTCAAGCTCCACAGATTTCCCTGGGATCCACTGAGCCAGAGAGGATCGAACAGTGCCTGCCACTGCTGGGGGACCCACTGGGATTGCGGTGTGGGGTGCCCCAGTTGGACTAGGGGGCCTGTTTTCCAGGGAAGATTCAGAGCAGGAGTTTTAGAGGGTGAGGGCCCCCCGCCCTGCCCCGCCCAGCTGCGTTCATTCCGGCAGGTTGAAGCTGTGGGTTGCCTCAAACGTCTTCTCCTCAGGCCTACAGAAGGCTGCCAGACCCCCAACCACAGCCAGCCGCTCGGCCCTCACGTTCAGGCAGCTGCTAAGGCAGGCCGGCCGGCACTGGCACCACCTGCACTGCACGGAGGGCTGGGGCTGGGGCTGGGCGGGTCTGAGTCTCAGAGCTCTGCCAGTGGCCTGGGGTCTTGCTGGGGAACCAGAAGCCACACTCCTTGTGGCTGGTGTCCCTGGTGTCCAGCAGACATGCTCTCTGCAGCCCCTGGGCTGGGTTCTGGTGCCTGCAGGCCTCCCAGGCCATGCTCAGCCCTGTCCTGACCTGCCAGCTGTGCTTCATCCCTTGGGTGGGGGCAAGTGTGCCCCACACAGCCAGAGCTGTCCCAAGGCCCAGGGCCAGCCGCGTGGGTGGCTGGGTGTGGCTGGCTTTCCTGTGCTGGGCAGGGGCAGGCCGCTCAGAAATGTGGCTGCCTTGAGGGACAGACAGACCCCTTAGCCAAGAGAGGGGCCTGTCTGGCATGACTCGGAGTCACCGCCTGGGGTTTTGGGGCTGGGGCCTGTGCAAGGAACTCTTTGCCCCCGTCCCTTCCCCACCCTGTGCAGATCTCAGAGCCGGAAGAGGCCTGGCCATGGTGGGAACTCGGCGTCGGATGGACACACCTGTGACCTCCAGCCAGGGTCGGGGGAGGCTGGCCACACCCCAGCAGCACTGGCCCCTGGCCTGGGCTGTCCACTGGGCCCTGGGGCCTGCCTTGGGGAGGCCAAGTCCGGGCCTGGTTCTCCTTTGGCCAGGGCCTTGGCGCAGAGTCTGTCCACCGTGCCCCCTCCTCCCACAAAACCTCCCCAGAGTCCCTTTTGTTGCCCAGCCTGGGAGCTTCCGCGATCCTGAGTGCTGCTAGGAGGGAACAGAGGCCCCCTCGTCCGTCCTCCCCTCTCCCCAGCCCATCAGCAATTCAATTTGTGCCGCACCGGAGGGATGGCATTAGTGGAGTCAGAGTTAATATGATGTATTGATGGGTTGATTTCCCCCCGGCGGCTGCGTGCTGGGCTCTGCGGGACATCGCTCCTGGGCTGCCTGCCGGCTTCTTGCCTCCCTGGGGTCAGGGCGAGTGTGGGCCAGGGGGCTGGGAGTTGCCTCTGCAACTGGGTCTCTTGCTTCTCTAGCTCCGGGGTACCCCAGATTTTCGGGGAGTCTGGCATCCACCTTCCTACCCGTGAGCCACTTGGATCACCATGGAAACAGCAACGTTCTCTATGGGCAGCACCGTTTCTATGGAACCCAAAAAGGCAAGTGCAGCATGGGACCGGCGTGGGGAGCAGGCATGCTGGAGGTGGGGAGGGGGCGCAGGAGCTTCTGGGGCACAAGGGAAAGGCCAGCCTAGGTTAGCCCTCCCACCAGGTGTCATCGAGGCCAGGGTGGGGGCTAGAGGAGAGGGTGGGCCTGCCCCTCAGGATTTAAACCCAGGGGCCCAGGACCACCCCCAGGCGCAGGTTCAGTTCCCAGGTCACGCTGTCTCAAGACCTCTCACTGCTCAGGTGGGAGCAGCTGAGCTGGTGCCCACCTTCCTCATCACCCTAGCCCCACCGGCTTCCTCAGGACCTGGCCTTGCCCTGCAGCCCCCAGCAGCCCGGGGATGGTGGGGTGGCTCAGGAGGAGGATGCATCCTGTGGGGGCTGGAGGAAGCCCACAGAAGCCCGCACTTCCTGGCTTACACACCCGGTGGCCTCGGCTAGACCTGGGCTGCACGAGGCCCAGCCCCCAGCCCCCAGCCCCCCAGCCCCGTGTCCTGGTGGACAGAGGGGCTGCTCACCCCATTGGCAGCAGGCATCCCTGAAGAAGGGATGCAGACTTTGTCTTTGCTGAGAAGTCAGAGCCGGTGGGGCCTTGGGGAAGAGGAAGCTCAGGCCCAGCAGAGCCGAGTCCTGGTGCCAGCGAGTCCCCTCAGGGTACCGGAGAGGGCCTGGCTGGAGGTGGGATGGGTGTGGGTCCTTATCTCCAAGTTGGGTTTCCTCTGGTAGGGCGACATCTCATTTGCATTTTAAAAAGTTCTCCTTGGGGTGACACCAGGAGGCTGGAGCAGGAAGCCATCGGTTAGTTACCAGGTTCCAGTGAGAAGCGATACAGGTGTGGGGCCCCACAGGGGCCGGCATCGGTGATATCTAGGAGGGAGATTGGGGGCAGGGAGGGATAGAGGGGTCTAGGTGGCCCCCGGTTTCTGGCCTGGGCTATGGGAGGGTGCACCTGGGGAGCAGCAGTTGGACGGTGGGGTGAGTTCTGCTTCAGTGCAGAGGGGCTGGGGCGTCTCCCCAAGGGGATCCGAGAGGTGTCTGGACACACGGGGTGGGGTCAGTGGGGAGGGGTGGACTGGGAGGTTGTCCCGACTGTGGAGAGGGACGCCCAGGCTGTGGGGGATGAGAAGGGAGGTGGGGACAGATGGTTTCCGCACAGCTCCTGGGAGCCCGGGAGCCCAGGAGCCCTGGCGTTTAGGGCTGGAGCTCAGGGTGGGGGCAGAGGAGAGGCCCAGAAAGGCCCCCACAGGGCCTGGGAGGCAGACTAGACACCCTGAAGGGAACAGAGGGAGGGGACCCCAGTGAGCCTGTGCTCATGAGTGGCCATGATGACCCCAACTCTGAGTGTGAGCTGTGGGGTAGGGACCCGAGGCCAGTCTGCCCACCCTCTCTTGGCTGCCCCTCAGCCCCTTCTCCCCACCTCATACTCACTCCAGGACCTCTGTGTGGCCTGCACTTCCTCGCCTGCAGGAGCCCGAGATTTGCTAAGGCTCAGGAGGGCCTTGGCCTTGCCCTTGTCAGCCAGCTGCAGGGGAGCAGGCATGGGGGCCAGGAACTCACCACCAGCCCCACCCAGGGGATTCAGCTCTCACCCAGGACAGGCACCCAAACCGGTCTCCTCACCCCACACCCCAGCTCCTGTGGACGGGCTCTGCTGCCCAGAGGACAGCCCCGCAGGCCCCGTTCCCCTAGAACCGCGTCAGCCCCAGCGCGTGCAGTTATTTTGACAGTGTTTGTCAGGGGCGGGCAGGTGGCGGGTCCCAACCCCAGAAACCCAACCCCTCCACCAGCACAGGGGACTCCCTCTGGGCAGTGGGCCGGCCAGGCCTCTCGGCTTTCACAATATTTTGGTGGAGCTGTGTCCAAGAACAGTATTTGGTTTTGGAAATGGAGCTAATTAGGTTTCGCTGGGGCTAGCCCCTTCCCGCTCCCCTTCCCCCTTGTTTCTAATTAGCAGGAAATTGACAAGGAATTTACATGCCTGAGGACAATTTTACAAGTTCCAAATGTTTCTTTTGTTTCTCCCCTTGTCAGCTCCCTCTGCTCTTGGCACCACCCTGCTGCCCACCCACCCAGCTGGGTGTGGAGAGGGACAGCACCCCCAGGGTCCCCAGAGGCGGTGGCCTGGCCCCCTCTGTGGGGCGATGGGTAACCCCAGGGCAGCCGGGAGTGTGGAGAGCTTGGGGCAGACCCTAGCCGGGAAGGGAGGGCCCAGACCGAGGGCCCAGGCTGGGCAACCGTTTCAGGGACCCCAGACACTCACCCCCCACCAGGCAGGGTGAGCACAGCTGCTGCTCTCTGCCCCCGGAGCCACTGGCCTTTCTCCATTTCAACATATTACCCTAGCCCCAGCAGCCTGAGACACCCAGATGAGAGGCCGAGGGGCTGGGAGCTCCCAGGGTGTCCAGCAGGTGGGTGAGCCCTTCCTCCGCGACCCACCCGTCCTTCCTCGCCTCTCCTCTGGGGGCGCCAGGAGCTGCGCCTGCCACCTGTCCCTGGTTTCCAAGGTCTTGGTGCCTGTTTGTAAAGACCCAGCAGAGATGCTCTGTAACACTCACTGCCTGCCCCGCATCCCCCGAAAATCCACTGCCTGCCCCGCGTCCCCCGAAAATCCCCACTGGCACTGGGCCAGGCAGGGGAGAGACTGGCCTCGGGTTTGCATCTCCCATCTCTGAGGTGTGGGGAGCTGAACATGGGGGCAGAGGGTGAGTGTTTCACGGGGACAGAACTGCGGTTCGGGGAGGTGAGAGGTTCTGGCCATGGATGCTCGTGACGGCTGCACGGCAGGGGGAGTGTGCCCAGTGCCCCTGAACTGTGCACCAAAAATGGGAAATTTTATGTTACCCATATTTCACTACAATTTTATAAAAACAAAAGCAAAAACCAGCCCGGCGCTGTGGCTCACGCCTGTAATCCCAGTACTTTGGGAGGCCAAGGCGGGTGGATCACGAGGTCAGGAGATCGAGACCATCCTGGCTAACATGGTGAAACCCCGTCTCTACTAAAAATACAAAAAGTTAGCTGGGCCTGGTGGCGGGCTCCTGTAGTCCCAGCTACTCGGGAGGCTGAGACAGGAGAATGGCGTGAACCCGGGAGGTGGAGCTTGCAGTGAGCCGAGGTCACGCCACAGCACTGCAGCCTGGGCGACAGAGGGCAGAGCGAGACTCCGTCTCAAAAAAAAAAAAAAAGAAAGCAAAAACCTTCCCTAGGCTGTAACCTGGAGTCAGTGCCAGCTGGTGTCCGGGAGGCACCTGGAGCACCTGTCTCAGGGAGTCTTTCTCCAGCCTCACCCCTAAGGCCTCCCATTGACCTTGGCTCTTTCCCACACAGATAACTTCTACCTGCGCAACCTGCCGCCCCAGCCCACGCTGCTGCCGGCCAACCACAACTTCCCCAGCGTGGCCCGGGCCGCCCCTGCCCACCCCATGGGCTCCTGCAGCCGGGATCGAGACCGGGGTGAGGCAGGCTCCCTGCAGAAGGGCCCCAAGGACTTCGACCGCTTCCTCGTGGGCAAAGAGCTGGGCAGAGAGAAGGCGGGCAAGGCCGCTGAGGGCAAGGAGCGGCCAGCGGCAGAGGAGGACGGTGGCAAGGAGCGGCACAAGCTGGTGCTGCCCGTGCCAGCCGACGGGCACTGCAGGGAGGGCGGCCCCGCACCCCGAGGGGCCTGCGAGGGCCGCCCCAAGCACCTCACCTCCTGCCTCCTCAACACCAAGGTGCTCAACGGCGAGATGGGCAGGGCTGCGCTAGCCAGCTGTGCAGGGGGCATGCTGGGGCGGCCTGGCGCGGGGGTGGTGACCTCCGGGCGCTGTGCAAAGGAGGCAGCAGGCCCCCCGGAGCCCGGGCCGGCCTTCAGCGAGTGCCTGGAGCGGCGGCAGATGCTACACCACACCGCATCCTACGCCGGGCCGCCCCCGCCCCTCAGCACAGCCGCCGGCTCCTTCCCCTGCCTGCAGCTGCACGGGGGCCCTGACGGGCTCTGCCCGCTGCAGGACAAAGCCCCCCGGGACCTAAAGGCCAGCGGGCCCACCTTCGTGCCTTCTGTGGGACACCTGGCCGACAAGGGCCGCCCCTTCCAGGCCGCCGAGGCCTGTGCCGTGGCAGGGGAGGGCAAGGACCGGCACCTGGAGGGAACCATGGCCCCCGACCACGCTGCACCCTATGGAGTCTCCTATGCCCACCTGAAGGCCGAGGGCAAGGGCGAGCGGCGGCCTGGGGGCTTTGAGGCGGCCCTCAACCCCCGGCTAAAGGGCCTCGACTATCTCAGCAGCGCAGGCCCCGAGGCCTCCTTCCCCGGACTCCCTAAAAGCGGTCTGGACAAAAGCGGCTACTTCGAGTTGCCCACCTCTTCACAGGACTGTGCCCGGCCTGGTCACCAGGACCCGCTGGGCGGGAAGGCCCCCCAGGCCTGCTGCACTTTAGATAAGACTGTTGGCAAGGAAGCCCCGGCCGGCCCCCCAGGGGCACAGAAGGTGGCCCGCATCAGGCACCAGCAGCACTTGATGGCCGCCGAGGTGGAGCAGGGGGGCATTGGGGCTGAGGCCAAGCGCAAGTCCCTGGAGCTGGCATCCCTGGGCTACAGTGGGCCCCACCTGCCCCCATGGGGTGTCCAGGCAGGCCAGGGCACCGCCATGGCCATCAGCGAGGAGCGCAAGGCTGGCGCCTACCTGGACCCCTTTGGCAGTGGCCTGCAGCAGGCGGCTCTTCTGCCCCAGGAACTGCCTGCGCCGCCAGACGAGGTCTCAGCCATGAAGAACCTGCTCAAATACAGCAGCCAGGCCCTGGTGGTGGGCCAGAAAGCACCCTTGGTGGGCCTGGGTGGCCTCAAGGCCAGCTGCATCCAGCAGGAAGCAAAGTTCCTGTCCTCTAAGGGCCCAGGCCAGTCGGAGAGGCCGGACTGTGCCCGCAGCAGGGAGCACGACACCACGCACGGCGACGGGGAGGTGCGGCAGCCCCCTGTGGGCATTGCAGTGGCCTTGGCCCGGCAGAAGGACACAGTGAGCCGGTCTGAGGCAGCCTACGGCACCAACACTGCGCGGCAGGGCCGGGCCGCCCCCGCCTTCAAAGGTACAGGCCCTGCACAGAGAGGGAGGCAGGCCGGGACAGTCTAGGGGGCCCAGCTGGCCCTGCCCTGCGCCCCGGCTCCCCAGCTCCCACACCTGCCCTTGGCAGACCCTCCGAGGCCCCAGGACCAGGGGATCCTCCTCAGTGCATCAGGCCCCCCAGCTCGAAGCGGGGTCACTGCTTGCCTTAGCTGGTGGCTCCCTGGCCGCCCCAACCCTCTCCCGTCTGCTGTCTCGACCCTGTGCAGGTGGCGGTGGGCCCCGTTCCACACACGCGCTGGACCTGGAGGCTGAGGAGGAGAGGACGAGGCTATGTGATGACCGCCTGGGGCTTGCCAGCCGCGAGCTGCTGCTGCAGTGAGAGCTGGGCCTGTGGCCCTGGAGAGTGGGGCTAGGCCTGGGCTTGGGGCTCCCCACTCAGAGCCACGTGGAGAAAGAGGGGTGGTCATGGCTGGGGCAGCAGATTCTATGGCCGGCCGTGGGTGGGGTTCTCCCCACCCCTAGAGCCTTTCTGGAGTCTCACCCGGGGTTGGGGGTCTCAGTTAACCCCTTGCAGCGGTCAGGTTACCCACTTTCAGGGGCCAGGAGATGGCCCCCAGTCAGCCCTGCAGAGCACTGAGGCTGGAGCCTGGGGTTTTCCCTGAGCCTCCAGGTCCCGTTCTCCCTCCCAGGTTGATGGCAGGGGGTGGGACAGGGAGTCAGGCATTGGCACCGTTGGTGGGGCTGAGCCCCAGGTCTTACAGAGACAACAAAGGGCCGGGGGTGGGATGGGGAGCTGGGCCTTGGCGCCGGCGGCAGGGCTGAGCCCCAGGTCTTACAGGGACAGCAAAGACCGCGTAGAGTTCGCCCGGATCCACCCACCGAGCAGCTGCCCTGGGGACCTGGCCCCCCACCTCATGATGCAGAGCGGCCAGCTGGGCGGGGACCCAGCCCCCCACACCCACCCCCATCCCCCCTGGCTGCCCCGCACCCGCAGCCCCTCCCTGTGGATGGGGGGGCACTCCTACGGTCAGTGATCCAAGGGCGGGGGCTGGCCTGGGGCTGATGAGGGTTCCCTCCTGGTCCCCGAGAGTGCGAGGCCTGACCACTGTGCCCTCTGCCTCCCAGGCCTGGGGCACCCTGCCCTGCACCAGAACCTGCCCCCCGGCTTCCCCGCCTCCGTGGCTGGCCCTGTGCCCTCTGTCTTCCCCCTCCCACAGGACGCCCCCACACAGCTGGTCATCCTGCCCTCAGAGCCCACACCCCACAGCGCCCCCCACGCACTTGGTAAGGGCCCCTGGTCCAGGCTGCTGTACTTGGGGGGTGCTGTTGGAAGGAGGGGCAGCCGGGGGTGTGCTGGCCAGGGCTCAGGAGGGAGCGGTGGGCTTGGTGGGCTGAGGAAAGGGTGGCGGGGAAGCAGCCCCGGAGCTGTCCCCTCCCCAGCCAGGCTGACCCCTCCTGGGCCCTGCCCACAGCGGATGTCATGGACCAGGCGTCACTGTGGCCCCCCATGTACGGGGGCCGGGGCCCCGCCTCTCACATGCAGCACCCGGGCCAGCTCCCTGTGTACTCGAGGCCGCAGCTCCTCCGGCAGCAGGAGCTCTATGCTTTGCAGCAGCAGAGGGCCGCCCAGTTCCAGGTACCGCCCCTAGCCACGCTCACCTGGGCCGGGCACTTCTCCCCAACCCTGCCTGGCCGGACCTGGCTCCAGGAGACCCCTGCATGCCTGGCCTCTGGCAGGATGAACCCAAGCAGGGGGCCCACTGGGGTCAGGGGATCCTGAGCCTGACCGAGCTTGCCCCCATCCCTGACAGCGGAAGCCCGAAGACCAGCACCTGGATCTGGAGGAGCCCGCCCAGGAGAAGGCCCCAAAGTCCACCCACAAGCCAGTTGCCTTAACCCCCACGGCCCCGGGCGCCCCCTCACCCGCTGCAGGCCCCACCAAGCTGCCACCTTGCTGCCATCCGCCCGACCCAAAGCCCCCCGCCAGCTCCCCCACCCCACCACCTCGGCCCAGCGCCCCGTGCACTTTAAATGTCTGCCCTGCCAGCAGCCCCGGGCCTGGCTCCCGGGTGCGCAGCGCCGAGGAAAAGAATGGGGAGGGTCAGCAGTCCACGGCCGACATCATCACATCCGAACCAGGTGAGAGTAGCCGCCTGGCCCGGCCCACTGTGCTCCGCTCCAAGCCCTCCCACCCCTGCCCGGCAGGGCTGCGCTGAATCCGGGCTGCCTGCAGGGAGGCGCCACACCTGCCCAGACCCAGGGCAGCATGGCTGTTCCCTTCCTCTCTCTTCCCTCTTCCCAGTCCTCCCAATGACCTTGGGAGAAGCACACAGTGCCCCAGCCGCCCCCTTCCTGGCCGTGGGCTGACGAAGGCGGGAGGAAGACGGGGTCCCGCTGGCTGTCGTAGGGGCCCTCCAGCAATGAAGGCGGGGCCTGCTGGTGGTGGTACTGGCACCCTGGGGGCACTGGGCATGGGACTTGACCAGGCTGCCATTCAGGGTCTCAGCAAAGCTGGGAGAGGGAGGGGCAGCGAGGCGGGGTGCCGTGGGTGGGGGGGTCTCGGGCCTGGCCTCGGCCCCTGCCACCCGCCCATCCACTCCCCGCCAGCCTATTTGATTCTCTCTGAGTGGGACTGAGAGGTCACACTGGAAACCGTGTGGCGAACATAAAACCCGTCCTAGTTTCACAGTCAGGAGATGGAGCTAGCAGAGGGTTTTTCCGTTTTTTTCCCTTCGTTTTTTTTCTTTTTTTTTGTCAGTTAATGGGACATGATGCCTCTGACATGCTGCCGGCTTGTTCTGGTTCAGGGAAAACCCTGATTAAAGCATCATGTTTTACAAATTCCCCCTTTTCTGGTTACCCACAGCACACCATGCCAGAGATGGCTCCTGAGGCCACCCCCAGCCCAGGCAGCCAGGGTTGTTGGGGGGAGCTTCAAGGCCACTCTTTAGGGGAATGAGGGCCTGGCCTCAGGCTGCTCACTACCTTTTTTTTTTTTTTTTTTTGAGACAGGGTATCTCCCTATGTCGCCCAGTCTGGAGTGCAGTGACGCGAACATGGTTCACTGCAGCCTCGGCCTCCTGGGCTCAAGCCATCCTCCCACCTCAGCCTCCTGTGTAGCTTGGACCACAGGCATGCACCACCACGCCCAGCTCATTGTTCTTTAATTTTTTTGTAGTGGCACGTGCTCACTCTGTTGCCCACGCTGGTCTCGAATTCCTGGCCTCAAATGATCCATCCACCTCAGCCTCCCAAAGTTTTGGGATTACAGGTGTGAGCTACTGCACCCAGCCAGGTTGCCCCCTTAATTAACGTAACCCTTTCCCCGCCACCAGTCTTGCAGACCTGCAGCTAGCCCAGGGCCCTTCCGCACGGGCTTGGGTCTGAGGGTTCGAGGCCACTGTCCTCCGTCCTATCGCAGGACACCCCCTCACCACCACTCCCAGCTCCCTGCTGACCTGTCCCCTCCTTTGCAGACCTGCCTCCCGGATACCTGCGCCCCATGGCTGGCCTGGGCTTCTCCCTACCCTCAGACGTGCACTCTTCTAACCTCGAGGACCCTGAAACTATGCAAACCACCGCCCCGGGGGCCCAGCCTGAGCCCACAAGGACATTCCTGCCTGGGGAGCCGCCTCCCTGCAGCCCCAGGAGCCTGGAGGAGCCCGGGCTGCTCTCAGGGGCCAGGGAGGCCACCCAGGACCTTGCCGCCACCCCCTACCCTGCCGAGCGGGGACCCCAGGGGAAGGCAGCGGACCCCAGCCCACTAGAGGGGCTACAAGAACTGCAATGTGCGGCCCTCCTGGAGGCAGGGGGCCCCGAGGCCACCGGCCAGGCTCATTCTACTCAGGGAGGGGCACGAGAAGAGAGGAGCAGGGAGGAGGGGGAGCAGGGGCCCTCGTCAGGGGCCTCCTCCCAAGTCCTGGAGCAGCGAGCAGGGAGTCCGGGTGCCCTTGAGGACGAGGGGGAGCAGCCGGCCCCTGAGGAGGACGAGCTGGAGGAAGACGAGCTGGGGCAGCAGAGCATGGAGGACTCAGAGGAGGACTGTGGCGGAGCTCCCGACAACAGCCACCCACCCAGGGCGCTACCAGGCCTGGATGCCTTGGTGGCCGCCACCATCAACCTGGGGGACCTGCCCAGCGACAGCCCACCGGACCCTCAGCCCCCAGCGGCCTCTGGGCCCCCCAGCACAGTCCCCCTGCCTCATAGCTCAGGGATTCATGGGATCGCTCTGCTCAGCGAGCTGGCTGACCTGGCAATCCAGCGGCAGAGGAGTGAGAGGACTGTGCCAGGTAAGCCCGGTGGTTGCCGCCACCCCCCAGAGTCCCAGCGGTGGGACCCACACGCCTGCCTCAGGGTCACCTGGCCAGACGGCAGCCTTGGGCCCCGCTCAGTTGTCCCCAAAGTGTGGTAGGTCCCCTGGAGAGTGTCCGCCTCCCCTTGCCGTCCCTCGTCCATGGAAGTCCGAGGCAGGTGTGCCATCTCCGAATCTCTCCGTCCCAGGTGGGGCCCTGGGAGCAGGACTAACCTCCATGGTGGTCTCAGAGGAAGGGCCTCTCGGGCAGCACCTCCTGTTGGAAGTGGCTGAACAGGGGCTCGCGTCCTGGCAAGGGGAGAGGAGAGCCTGCCGCCTGCCTCCTGCTCTGCCAGGCCTCCACCTCCTCAGCCTCCACGGCTGCTACCCTGGCCTGGGGGGTCCAGTTCAGGAACCGTCGGCTCCCCGCTTCAGGCCCAGGGGAGGGGGCAGGAGGCTGGGGCTCCTGCTGCGGGGAGGCCTATGGGACTGGGAGCTCCTGGGCTCTTTCGCCCACCCAGGGGCCCCAAGGACAGCCGGACAACAGTGGGCGGGTCCAGAGCACCTGGGACACCCGAGGGCCAGGTGTCTGCTTCGTCCACCCTGGGCCTTGGTCCGGGCACTCCCTGCGGTCCAGTGCTCCCGGGAAAGCGCCCGCTTCCTGCCGTCTTCCCTGTGGGCCCCAGAGAAAGCCCCGGGGTGGAGGGCGTCCCCCAGCCGGGCACGGCGCCGTGGTTGTTGATAGCACGAAGCTGACAGTCTTCAGGGCTCGGCCGCTGCTTTCTGGATGCATAAAGCTCACCACCGCGATGAAGAGAATGTTCTCGAACAGTGCATTTCCCCAGGGGCCCGTGGTCACCCTGTGCTGGATGAGGCTGCTGGCCCGCACGCGGCAGGGGTGGTTCCGCAGTGCTGGGAGCTGCCTGCCCTCGGGGGTATCTGGCCCAGAGTCCCTGCTTCTGGGTGGGGCTGTGCAGAGGGTTTGAGGAAGCTTGGAGTCCTACCAGGGTGGGCTCCACCTGGACCCCCCAGAGGCCCTCCCTTGGGCCTCCAGCTGGCAATATATGAGAAGTTAGATAGGGCGAGGTGGAGGCACCTTGGGGCAGGGCCTGAGCTGCCAGGGACCCGCCGTGGGAGGGTCTCAGGGACCCTCACCTGGCAGCATGAGGAGGCGTCAGTAGATAGCAGGTCCCGTGTGTATGGCCAGAGTGGCCGGTCTGCCTGTGTGAATGCCTGCAGGACAGGAGCCCGTTCACTGCATGAATACTCATGTGTAGACCACGTGTCCCGGGTGGTGGGCCATGTGGCTTAACCCAGCATGGATGTCGTCACACTCCGGCCAGGCCAGGTGTCCCAATCCCCAGGGTGTGCAGAAGTGGAGTCAGGGCCAGCTCTGCCCTCCGGGTCTCCACCTCATGGTCCCCCCCTGGGCCCCCACCCCTGCCCCTGCCCTCCCCTTGTCCCCGTTAATGGGCAGGTCTCTGCAGCTGCTGGGCTCAGAGCTGATCCCTACAAGTGTAGCGATCACTTCAATTGAAATTAATTAGGAGGTTGGTTTTGTCCTGTGCCAGACAGCAGGATTTGCAGAGGGGGAAGTGGAGAAAAAGCCCCCACCATCGGGGCCGGGCAAGCATAGAGCCCCCAGGACTGGCAGAACCATCTGGGTGAGGCCACGTGGGAGCCACACGCCTGTAGCCTGCAAGGGCAGGGGAGGCACAGAGGGGCTTCTGGCCAACTGCAGTGACCCCAGGAGACCTGGGGCCTTCAGTGGAAGGGGCCTGCAGATGTGCCTCCCCGGCTGCTGATGGCAGCAGCTGCTCAGCCCACCCCCCCTCGGCCCTCTCTCCCCCTCCCATTCCCTGCGGATCCTGGACCCAGCAGCCTGAGTGTTCCCTTGGTCCCCATCAGATCTGTGGTCTCGGTCCAGAGCTTTGCACCCCAGCATCTGCCCCTCCGAGCACCTCCTGGCTTCTTAGTAATGACTTCTGGGGATGGATCAACCCTTGGTCTGGGCTTGTGGCCCCCTGGCCCTCCCCATACTTGAGGAGGGAAGCAGCCACGCACCATGGAGTGCCCCAGCCTGGGCGCTCAGGTCAGTGCCTTTGGTGGAATCTCAGGTGCGTGCCCCAGCTGTCAGGCGCTGATTTGTCCCATCGTGGATGGGGTTCTCCCGCACTCCTGCTTCTGGCTGAGATGAGCCATATCTCTGGGGAGCCCCGGTCCGTTAAGTGGAGCGTGGGGTTCTGAGGCAGAGACTAGGTTTGGGGTGCTCGTTGCTGTGAGGTTATCGTTGCTCCTGGGCTTTCCCAGGGGATACCAGCACCTCTACTCACCCCACAGGGGTTCCGCAGTTCTCCTGCCTTCCTGGCCATCACCACCCACCCCCACCGCAAGGTGTCTGGCTCCTGTCTCCTGCTGGATGTCCTTGTGGGATCAGCCCATGGGGACCCCGTTCCTGGTCTCTGTGGTCAGCCCTCAGGGCTGGCTTCCCCTACTCAGGCCCTGAGTCCCCAACCTGGGCCCAACCCTGCATGGACGCCAGCCTCTGCTGGCCCATGCTCTGACCCCAAGATGGGCCATCCCTTCCCCAGGCCACTGCCTGGGCTGTTGGGCTGCCGCTGTTCCTGCGGTCACTGTGAGGGTAGCTCCCCCGTCCCTGCCCCCAGGTTGAGGTCCCAGAGGATGCGGCCCTGGCAGCCCCTTCCTCCTGACCTGTGTTCAGCCCATGGCCCTCCTGCCTGCCCCAGGGCTGGAGCGTGCTGGAAAGGGCTTGGCAGAGCCCAGCACTGTGTTCAGAGACCGGGCAGGGGCAGGGATTTGGTGCTCTGAGGGAGGATGGAGGAATGGTGGCTGCTCCTCTGAGAAGGGTCACAGCAGATGAGACTGCATCCAGAAACCCCTGCCCGCTGCCCTCCTCACAAGGAATCGAGGGCCTGGGGTCCCAGCTACCCAGGAAGCTGAGGTGGGAGGGTACTGGAGCCCAGGAGTTCGAGGTTGCAGTGAGCCGTGATGGAGCCACCACACTCCAGCCCAGGCAATAAAGCGAGACCCTGTCTCAAATTTAAAGGTATCGAGGGGACTTGTCCCCTCCCTCTGCACTGACCACTGGCCTCCCTGCAGCCATTGCTCTTTAGGTGTCCACACAGGCGAGTGGACGGAAGGACTGATGGGCAGATGGACAGGCAATGGCAGGTCTTAGCTGCTGGGGGACGCCAGCCTCCACCACCTGGATGGAGTGATGCCCAGGTGCTGAAGCCCCTGGTTCCAAAGCCATCTCTCCGCGTGACTTTGAACTTGGTTGAAGCCACGTAGACAGACGCCTGTTGGAACCGCAGGCTTGAGCCACAGCATTCAACTCGGTTGAACTTCAGCAGCTTCCGTGCGCGAGGCCTCAGTGGGCTCTCGTAGCACTGCCTGTGTCTCTGAGGGCCCCAGAGTATCCCTTCCCAGGGCTGCCGTTCGAAGCAGGGCCCCCCCGGTGGGGGGACACACAGGCGTTTCTGTTAGAAGCTGTAACGAGCAGATTGCTTTTACTTCGATGCTTTGGGGCCTGTCTTGCTCTGTGACACAGAGGACCCTGCCCCGTGGGTCCTCCCAGCTGGCCCTGCCTTACCACCAAGGGAGTGTCTCCCCAGCATGCAGCAAAACAGGGGTGCTGGGTGTCAGCCCTGGTGCCCACCTCACTCTTCCCGGTCTCCTGACCCTCATCCCGGTCTTCAAGGCTGGGTGGCTTCAGGGGGCCAGGGCTGACATCAAGAGCCTGTGAGGGGCAGTGTGTGCCCAGTTATGCCCATGCTGACCTTCCCATGCCGCACAGAGGAGGAAGAGGACGTGCTAGCCTTCAACCTGCAGCACCTGGCCACGCTGGCCACAGCCTGGTCCCTGGTGGAGGCTGCTGGCCTGGACAGCTCCACTGCCCCAGCGCAGCCGCCCACAGCCAACCCCTGCAGCGGCCCCAGGCTCACCCCCCGCATGCAGATCCTGCAGCGCAAGGACACCTGGACCCCCAAGACCAAGCCTGTGAGTGGAGGTCCCAGTGCCCACGTCGCCCAGTGCGTTGCCACAGAGCCCCAGCCTGGGCCCTGGCCCGGCTCACAGGCCCCTGTGCCCCCCCCCACCAGGTGTGCCCCCTGAAGGCCGCCATCGACCGGCTGGACACGCAGGAGGTGGGGATGCGCGTGCGGCTGGCGGAGCTGCAGCGGCGCTACAAGGAGAAGCAGCGGGAGCTGGCCCGCCTGCAGCGCAAGCACGACCATGAGTACGCCTGGCGTGGCGGGGGGGCCTGGGAGGGTCGCAGCACCCCCACCCCCGGGAGGCGCCCACAGTGCTGGGGCCGATGTGGGAACAGGCCAGGATTGGGCTCTGCCCCCTACCTGTGGGCAGACACCAGGGTCCATCGGGGAGGCCCCCCAGAGGCAGTGGGGCCCAAGGAGGGAGGCATTCGGCCAGCAGCGAGACCAAGTGGCAGGGCCAGGGGTCTGTGGAAGAGCCGCTTGTCAGAGCCTGGTGTGGCAGGAGGCTGGCCGCAGGGTGGCGGGTGAGAGGACAGTGGCAGAAGGGGGAGTAGGGAGGACTGGGGGTGCTGTGGGGCCAGGGCAGAAGTTGGGGGATTCTCTGGGGGAGGGGACACCCCGCAGTTGCAACAAGGGCAGGGGCACCACCTGACCAGTGTGTGTGGATGGTAGGAGGTGGGGGCGGCGGGGGCCCCTGGCTGGCCTTGCCCTCTGCGTGAGGGGTCAGGCTCCCCAGGCCGAGTCTGGGCCGCATCTTTCCCCACACCCAGTAGCCCTCGAAGGCCAATGCCCTCGGCTGGAACCTTGTCGGGGAGCTGGGTTGTGCATGAGCCTCTGACCATCCCCCCTGCGGCCCCCAGGAGAGACGAGAGTTCACGGAGCCCTGCACGGCGGGGGCCTGGCCGGCCGAGGAAGCGCAAACACTCAAGCTCGCTGCCTGCCCCACGTCCCACGGGGCCGCTCCCCAGGAGCGATGGCAAGAAAGTCAAGTGAGTCCTGGGCACTGGCATGGCAGGGCGCGTGTGGCCGGCCCTGGGCCCTCGAGGCTGGGGAGCAGGGTCCAGGCTCCCCTGAGGCTTCCAGGCTGCTGGTGCCCCTTCACACCTACTCTGAAGGCCTGGCCCTGCCCTTCCTAGACCATCGAGAGTGACCAGCAGACAGAGCCCTGCTCCAGACAGGCTTTGCCCTTCTGGCAGCTCCCAGCACCACCCTGGCCCGGGTCCCCCTCTGGAAGTCACGGCCCCCAGGCCCAGCCACGCCGGCTCTGCACACCTGGCTGTGGCATCGTCCCCGCCCGGCCCCCCTGGAGTGTGAGGCGGTGTTGCGTGCAGGCCTCTTTATCTGCACTGTATAAAGTCGTTGGTCACGCTGTGGAGCTGCTCACGGCTGCCGGCGCGATGTTATTATCCATTACCCGCCCGGCGCAGTCGTTGGCGCACTCCCGGGCCTGGTATAATTGTCCTTCTCGGCTACAAATTGCCTCTCCCGGCAGGCCCATTTGCATAAATCCTCCGAGCTCCTCCAAACACGATTGGCGCGTGCGTGTGCGCACTGCATCAATCCTGATGATTTGGTAATAATAGTTAAATCGGCACTAAATGGTTCCTTCAATTAAGACAGGCAAAAAATTAATCTCAGGGCTTCATGTCACAAAACATTAGCAAATGCAGAGAAGGTTACGGGGAGGGGCTGTGTGGCTGTGGGCAGTGGAGGGGTCACCATATGGCTGCCCCCCCCCAGAGCTGCCCCTGCCCTGCCCAGGTGTCTCCTGGGGGGGGGTCTCCTGGGGTCTCCCTTTGAGAACCAGCCAGCACTGTGGGAACTGCTGGGCAGGACAGGGCCCCTGGAAACCAGGATCTGGCTAGAAGGCAGCAGCCTCAGGACAGGGAGGGAAACTGAGTCCAGGACCCCTCTTCCCGAGGGTCAGGGCCCCACCTCACCCTTCCACCTCCTGCCCTCACTCATCCAGGCAGTGGTGGCAGAGGCAGTTGGCCCCGGGACGGGCCTTCTACCATGCAGGAAGTCGGGGAGCGGGGGCCCAGGGGTGCCTTGTGGCCCATGGCTTCCTGCCTGGCCCCTCAGGCCTCAGAAGCCCAGCCTCCTCTGTGAGCAGGAAGGTGGAAAGGGACATCCGGCCACGCCAGGCCAGGGCCAGGCAGGGCTCTTTGTCTCCATCTGGGATTCATTTTCATGAGCAGCTGGGTATCCCTTTGCACCTGTGGGCAGGTGGGGGTTGAAAGGTGAGAGGCCAAGCCCCCAGCCCCTGTCTAGCCAAGAACAGGCAGAGAGACTCCCCAAGCCTTGGCTTCTCCATGTGAAATGGGGCAGTGGGAGGTTCTGGGGAGGGTGGGTCACCCACACAAGATGGGGAGCCCAGGATGTGGGGGGATCAGGTGGGACCTGTTTTGGGGCATCTGGAGGTAGCTGCTGGGCCCATGTAGGCTGGAGTTGACTTCTGCCCCAGCTCCCAGCCTGGGGGACAGCACAGCTCTGGGGCATGGGGAATACTGAGGCTCAGCCTCCGCAGTGTCCAGGGCTCCATCTGGGAGGGGCCAGGGATGCAGAATTCCATCCTTAAGACCCGCGTGGAGGACAGAATGGGCTCCTGAGAGGGCCTGAGCCCGGCAACGGGGTCCCTGGGGACTCAGGGGAAAGCCCAGGCTTCTCTGGACACCGCCCCCACCCCACCCCACCCGCCTGCCCCTACCCCCGCCCCTGGTGGGACTCCGGTTGGCACGTCCTCTTCCAGCTGTGGCGGAAATGTGGGTGCAGTTCTCACAAACCTGCCCGGTGCCTGCCCCACTCCTAAGGGTGGTAGTATCAGGCCCTGAACACCCGCCAAGGGCCGGGCCCGGCCTGCATAAGCCCTGCCCCAGACTCAGACAGGCACATGTGTGGCTGTCCCTTGTTCCAGGTGCCAAGGCTGGGGCTGCAGCCCCACTCAGGCCCCAGTAGCAGCAGAGCCCTGGCTCCTGAGCACTGGGCGGCCCCTCAGAGCCCTCACCGGCCCCAGCCCCCGACACCTGGCCTCTGGGTCACTGTGGCTAGGACCAGACAGCACTGCCAGGGCGTTCCTTCCTATCAGGCTGGAAGGATGGGATTTGGGTAACAGAAGCGTGCCCACTTCCAGTATAGCCAAGTGGGGGATGGGGCGGATTTGAGGATATAGGGACTGCTGAGGGCCGGTGGTTGGCAGGCAGAGGGGCTGGCTGCAGGCAGGTGCTCAGAGGAGGTCAGAGCTGGCTCGGCCCCCGGGGCCCCTCACCCCCTGCTCTGTCTGCCCGAGACGTGGGGCCCTTGGAGGAGGGTGACCCACAGTGTGACCCACTACAGAGACAGTAGGGGGACAAGGCTGGGGCGGCCGGGCCTGCATCTGCCCTGCACCCACCACCCCATGCCCCCAGGGCGGTGCGGACAAGCCTGGGTCTGCTGTGTGCGGAGCTGCGAGGAGGCAGTGGGGGCGAGCCTGCGAAGAAGCGAAGCAAGCTGGAGAGGAGCGTCTATGCGGGCCTGCAGACTGCCTCCGTGGTGAGTGCCGAGGCGCCCGCCTTGCCCCAGGGCCCTTCAGGTCCCTTCAGGTCCCTTCCTGGCAGGTAGCAGACTCTCCCCAGCCCTGTGCCGAAACCCATTGCTCAGATGAGCGAAGCAAGGCTGGGGAGCTCCGAGCGCCGACAGCAGGAGGAGGAGGGTGACCCTGCGGTGTAACACAGGAAGGTCTGACCGGGTGGCCCTGCCGCCACTTGCCCACGTCACTCCACCCTCCTCGTCTCACTCCAGCAGGAAAGCAAATGCCCAGGCTACACTCTGCTCACAGAGACTCCCTGGAACGAGGCCCTGCCTTTCTTCAGGTGGCCCAGGGCACACTTGGTGTGGCGGGGGCTCCTCCGGCTGCCGGCACCCCCTTTCTTCTTGGTGTGGGGGGGCTCCCCACGCTGCTGGCACCCTGTTTCTTCTTGGCGTGGTGGGGGCTCTCTCGGCTGCCGACACCCCTTCTTTCTTGGCACAACAGCTGCCTCCTGCCCCTCCTCTCTCCGTGGCCTCGGCGGGGCTGGTGAGACGTGGGCCCCAGCATACTTCACCTGTCTGCCCAGGGGGCTGATCCTTCTGCCCAGATGCTGTTTTATCCCTCCCTTTAGAAAAGCTAACAGCCTGGCCCCACAACCCACAGCCACTGGGCCCTCAGCCTCCTCCATGTCCCCTACGTGGGGTGGGCAGTTGGTGGGCAGTGGGTTGTGTGGGAAAGGCCGCAGCGTAGGCTCCAGGGGCAGGCCCTGTGTCTCTGGGCCAGACATCCCTTCAGCCCCTGTGGATCGAGGGCAGGGGCCTCGAGGTACCAGTTCTGAGCCGGGCATCAACAGAGAGGCACCTAACCGCCCAGGGGCTGTGGTTTGCAGAGGGCGCCCTGAGAGTGCAGCTGCCCCTCCCTGTTCACAGGAGAAGGCGCAGTGTAAGAAGAGCAGCTGTCAGGGCGGGCTGGCGCCCTCCGTGGCCCACAGGGTGGCCCAGCTGAAACCCAAGGTCAAGAGCAAAGGGCTGCCCACAGGCCTCAGCTCTTTCCAGCAGAAGGAGGCTACCCCCGGGGGGCGCATCCGGGAGAAGCTGTCCCGAGCCAAGAGTGCCAAGGTGTCTGGGGCCACACGGCACCCACAGCCCAAGGGCCACGGCAGCCGGGAGACACCCAGGTGCCCAGCCCAGCCCTCCGTGGCTGCGTCCCAGGAGGCAGGCAAGTTGCTGGCGTGAGTGGCCACTGCCAGGAGCCCCGGTCATGGTCGCTCGGGGGCTGGAGGAGGGGGCGGCAGGTTCATGGCCGCCACCAGGGCTGGGTCATGGCTTGTGGGGTGTGACAGGTCCAAGGAGACGTTTTCACTGAACAGGCTGGGGAAGGAGATGAAGGTCTCACGGAAGGAGACCCCCATCCCCAGGCAGAGCTCAGTGGCTCAGCATGCCTCACCCCCATGTCAGGGCCGAAGGGGAAGGAAGGACCCCCACTGGAAGCATCCAGGTTAAAAATAGCCCTCTCAACGGCCCCAGCCCCTGTGACTGTAGCATCCGGCTGAGCTGACCCTGAGGCGTTATCTGACCACCCCCCCAGCAAACACGTGTGTCCAGAAACAGGAGCCTAGAAAAATAGAAGCTTCCTTTCTTCTGCCAGCCCCTTCCCCCAAGGTCTCAGATGCCTGAGAAAGAACAAAGGGAGGGCCGCTTGGGGCTGGGGGAGGGGCAGAGGGCCATCTGGGCGGAGGACAGCAGAAAAAGGGGAAGGGACTTTCTGGGGAGGGGGCCCCAGCCCTGCCTGGTGGGTGCCCTATTGCCCAGGGTATAAGAAAAAAACACCCCTCCCCACACCCATACAAATCCCTTCAGGCTGGAGGCCAGGACCTCAGGCACCTGCCCCCAAAGCAGCCCCACAGAGCGGCCCAGAGGGTGACGGTGACCAGCTCCACTCACAGCCCCGCCATAACCGCATGCCCAGAGGGTCACCTCCCCCACCTCTCAATGGCACAGCTTACCATCAAGTCATCAGGACCCCTCTGCCTCTCTCCCAGGCAGTGGCTATGACAGTGAGGACTGCGAGGGTCTCCTGGGGACAGAGGCACCACCCAGGGAAGCAGGGCTGCTGCTGCACGCCGGGGCCAGTGTGGCCGTGCTGGGGCCCTCACCCTCCTCTGTGGTCAAGATGGAGGCCAACCAGAAGGCCAAGAAGAAGAAGGAGAGGCAGGGGTTGCTAGGTAACCAGGAGGGAGGACAGGGGTTGCTAGGTAACCAGGAGGGAGGGCAGGGATTGCTAGATAACCAGGAGGGAGGGCAGGGGTTGCTGGGTAACCAGGAGGGAGGGCAGGGTTTGCTGGGTAACCAGGAGGGAGGGCAGGGGTTGCTGGGTAACCAGGAGGAAGGGCAGGGGTTGCTGGGTAATCAGGAGGGGGAGGGCAGGGGTTGCTGGGTAACCGGGGGGAGGGCAGGGGTTGCTGGGTAACCAGGAGGGGGAGGGCAGGGGTTGCTGGGTAACCGGGGGGAGGGCAGGGGTTGCTAGGTAACCAGGAGGGAGGGCAGGGGTTGCTGGGTAACCAGGAGGGAGGGCAGGGGTTGCTGGGTAACCGGGGGGAGGGCAGGGGTTGCTGGGTAACCAGGAGGGAGGGCAGGGGTTGCTGGGTAACCAGGAGGGGGAGGGCAGAGGTTGCTGGGTAACCCGGGGGCGGGCAGGGGTTGCTAGGTAACCAGGAGGGAGGACCGGCACAGTCAGCCCAACCAGCTGGGTCTCTAGGATGGGGACCCCTGTGACGGCCTCCTCTCCTTCCCACAGGGGCCTGCCGCCTGTCCAGCCCTGAGAGTGAGGTCAAGATCAAGAGGCGGTCGGTGAAGGCCAAGGTGGGCACCACCCTGGAGCGGGCCCCAGGGCAGAGGCCCCCAGGTGCGCTGGGCAAGAAGAAAGCCAAGGGCAAGGCCAAGGGCAGCCTGCGGGCAGAGCCGGGGGCCACCCCCAGCAGGGACGCCCTCTTCAACCCCTCTCGGGCCTTCGCCTGCCGTGAGGAGGGCAGCCAGCTGGCCAGTGAGCGCCTCAAGAGGGCCACGCGCAAGGGCACAGTGCTGCAGCCAGTGCTGCGGGTGAGGCTGGGCTCTGGGGTGCTGGGCGGAGAGGGTGGGTGCCTGTGAGGAAAGGCCTTCCCCGCCCTCCCCCGCACGCTGGCCCCTGAGCTCTGGGTCAACCTGAGGCTGTCCCACCCTTGACTCAGCCCCTTCTCTGCCTGCCCACGCGCAGCGGAAGAACGGGGCCCTGTCCATCACGCTGGCCACACGCAACGCCAAGGCCATCCTGGGGAAGGGCCGGAAGCTGAGCAAGGTGAAGCACAAGGCCGGCAAGCAGGTAGCAGCCCCCCACTCTGGGAGCCCACTGTGCACCCACCTGCACCCCGCCTGCACCCCACCCAAGCCTGACTCCTCTGGCCCCCAGGGCAAGGGCCGGGCCGTGAGCCGCCTGCTGGAAAGCTTCGCCGTGGAGGAAGACTTTGAGTTCGACGACAACAGCAGCTTCTCGGAAGAGGAGGAGGACGAGGAGGAAGAGGAGGAGGACAGCGGCCCTCTGAGCGCAGAGCAGAGCGCCGCCCTAGGTGAGCAGGGCCAGGAAGGGTGCCAGCCGCCTGGGGAGGGGTGGTGGGTAGGCCGTGCCGGCCGCTGACACCTTGTGCCCACAGCGCGCTCGTGTGCCATCCACAAGGAGGACCTGCGGGACGGGCTGCCTGTGCTCATCCCCAAGGAGGATAGCCTGCTGTACGCGGGCAGCGTCAGGACCCTGCAGCCACCCGACATGTGAGGCCTGGGCATGGTGGGGCAGGGCAGGGGCCTGGAGGGCAACCGAGACCCGTGGCACCTCACATTCCCCAATGCCCCCAGCTATAGCATCGTCATCGAGGGCGAGAGGGGCAACCGGCAGAGGATCTACTCACTGGAGCAGCTGCTGCAGGAAGCGGTGAGGACCGGGCCGGCCCGCCCCGGGGAGGGGCCTGGCTGGCTTGTCCCAGGACAAAGGAAGGCCTTGGCCTGGGCCGCAGCCACTCCCAGGCCCAGGGACCAGACTCTCAGGCAGCCCTGGGCCGGGCCCCACCTGCTCATGGGTCGTCGCCCGCGTTCCTGCAGGTTCTCGATGTGCGGCCACAGTCCAGCCGGTACCTCCCGCCCGGCACGCGGGTCTGCGCCTACTGGAGTCAGAAGTCTCGATGTCTGTACCCGGGCAACGTGGTCCGGGGTAAGTTGCACCCAAAGCGGGGGCTGGGGCAGGCCCCTCTGAGACCCACAGGCTCATATCTGCCCCCAACAGCCTGGCTTCCGAGGCTGGCGAGGGCAGAACCAGCTCTCTGCTTAGACAGAGTACGACAATAAAATGAGCTCCCCAGGCGCCATGAAAAAGCACAGGGTGTGTGGGGAGGGAGGGTGGGGGCTCCGGCCTCCAGCCAAGCAGAGAGGGCCCAGCAGGAAGGGGCCCTGAGCACTGCTGCTGGGGGTCACAGAGTACGTCAGGGGGCACCAGCTCCCCTGGGCAAAACCTCCTGACTACAGGCAGGGGCATGTAGGTCCCTAGGGCGAAAGGCTCAAGGGTCCCACAGGCAAGTGGCCAGGTGGGCGGGAGGCGCCTCCAGGCGGGACTCGGCTGGGAGGTGGGCACGTGGGCGTCAGCACGTGTGGGGAGGTCTGGTTCTGGGCTGGGTGGGGTGACGGTGGCATCACATGGGAGGCACTGCAGGAGGTGGAGAGGAGGCCCCCGCTCCTGGGCTGCAGGGCGGCTCCACTGTCTGTGTGGTCAGGGAGCAGAACCCCAGAGCCCTCCCCTCACCCTCCCCACCGGCTTTGGCAGCCCCGCCTCCCTGTTTCGGGCGCCTACTGGGGGTTCCAGCTGCAAGCTCAGGTGTGCCGTCCACAGGGGCCTCCGGTGACGAAGATGAGGACCTGGACTCAGTAGTGGTGGAATTTGACGATGGGGATACAGGCCACATCGCCGTCTCCAACGTCAGGCTGCTGCCCCCTGACTTCAAGATCCAGTGTGAGCCTGGGAGCTGCACGGGGCAGGGCCCTGCCTGGGCTCCACTGTGTCCAGACGGGCTCCCAAGGAAGGGTTGGGGTGGCAGTCACCCCACAGCCATGGCACTGAAGCCCTTGGCCCATGCTATCCACAGGCACAGAGCCCTCTCCAGCCCTGCTAGTGTCTAGCAGCTGCCGGAGGACCAAGAAGGTATCCAGTGAGGCACCCCCGCCTAGTGAAGCCGCCACCCCCAGCCTGTCCCCCAAAGCACAGGACGGCCCCGAAGCTTTGAAGACACCTGGGAAAAAATCCATTAGCAAAGACAAAGCTGGTATTTTACCGGACTTCCCAGAATCCGGATCGGGGAAGGCACCCTCTGGGGGCTGGGGGAAGCAGGAGGCCCGTGGGGTAGGCAGGGTCTGGGGAGGGGCAGGTGGAGGCAGCTTTGTGGGCCCAGCTGGGGCTGACTCTGCTGGGCTTTTGCCCTCAGGTAAAGCCGAACTCCTAACCTCAGGTGCCAAATCCCCCACGGGGGCCTCCGACCACTTCCTGGGCCGCCGTGGCAGCCCCTTGCTGAGCTGGTCCGCGGTGGCGCAGACCAAGCGGAAGGCGGTGGCAGCGGCCAGCAAGGGGCCGGGGGTGCTGCAGAACCTCTTCCAGCTCAACGGCAGCAGCAAGAAGCTGCGGGCCCGCGAGGCCCTGTTCCCCGTGCACAGCGTGGCCACACCCATATTTGGCAACGGCTTCCGCGCCGACTCCTTCAGCAGCCTGGCCAGCTCCTACGCGCCCTTCGTCGGGGGGACCGGGCCGGGCCTCCCCAGGGGAGCCCACAAGCTGCTGCGGGCTAAGAAGGCCGAGAGGGTGGAGGCCGAGAAGGGTGGGCGGCGGCGGGCGGGCGGTGAGTTCCTGGTCAAGCTGGACCACGAGGGTGTGACCTCCCCCAAGAACAAGACCTGCAAGGCGTTGCTCATGGGGGACAAGGACTTCAGCCCCAAGCTCGGGCGGCCCCTGCCCAGCCCCAGCTATGTGCACCCGGCCCTTGTGGGCAAGGACAAGAAGGGGCGGGCACCCATCCCCCCGCTGCCCATGGGGCTGGCGCTGCGCAAGTACGCGGGCCAGGCAGAGTTCCCGCTGCCCTACGACAGCGACTGCCACAGCTCCTTCTCGGACGAGGACGAGGACGGGCCGGGGCTGGCGGCCGGCGTGCCCTCCCGCTTCCTCGCCCGCCTGTCCGTGTCCTCTTCCTCCTCTGGCTCGTCCACCTCCTCCTCCTCAGGCTCCGTGTCCACCTCCAGCCTCTGCTCCTCCGACAACGAGGACTCGTCCTACAGCTCAGACGACGAGGACCCGGCTCTGCTGCTGCAGACCTGCCTCACCCACCCCGTGCCCACCCTCCTGGCCCAGCCCGAGGCCCTGCGCTCCAAGGGCAGCGGCCCTCACGCGCATGCCCAGCGCTGCTTCCTGTCCAGGGCCACGGTGGCTGGCACCGGTGCGGGCTCAGGCCCCAGCAGCAGCAGCAAATCCAAGCTCAAGCGCAAAGAGGCCCTGAGCTTCTCCAAAGCCAAAGAGCTCTCCCGGAGGCAGCGGCCGCCCTCCGTGGAAAACCGGCCAAAGATCTCAGCCTTCCTGCCCGCCCGGCAGCTCTGGAAGTGGTCGGGGAATCCCACACAGGTAGGTCCAGCGGGAGGCGGGAGGAGCTCCTGGTTCCCAAGGAAACCGGGGCGGGCTCATGCGCCCCTGCTGCCCTTCCCTCTCCTTTTTCATCTTCCTACTTGATTTCAAGTTAAAAAATGTGGAAAACTCAAGGGAAGAACAAAGACCCATCCATGACCCAGTGAGGCAGCCGCTTCCGCTGGCCCCTCGCTGGAGCCCGTGGCCTGCGTGACAGTAGAAATGGCTTCATGTCGGGCCGGGCCCGAGCTGCACTCCGCATGGTGTGGCCTCACTTTTCCACGTCGATAAGTGGCGTGGCCAGCTGGAGAGCTGTGTATCCCCGCACTCAGATGCCTGCGTCTGTCCTCACCAGGGCACTGCTCGGGGGCGCATGTGGGGCCACTCGTGGGTCTTTTGCCTTCGTAAATAACACTGTGGTGAACGTCTTGTCCACATGTCCCTGTCCCAGATCCAGTGTCCAGACGTCATGATTCCATGTGCGGGCTCCGTGGAGGCGTGGGCCCTGCTCCAGATCCATGGCTGCCATGGCCTTAAGCCGCGGTGCTGCGGCTTCCTGCCCTTGTGGGCGCCCTGCACACTCACACTCAGACTCACACTCACACCCACACCACACCCTCCATGCCTCCTGGCCGCCATCTGTCCCCACAGCCCCCCGGCCTCTCAGAGCCACCCTGCCCATGTCCCCCACAGCGGCGTGGCATGAAGGGGAAGGCCCGGAAGCTGTTCTACAAGGCCATCGTGCGGGGCGAGGAGACCCTGCGTGTCGGGGACTGTGCTGTCTTCCTGTCAGCTGGGCGGCCCAACCTCCCCTACATCGGCCGCATCGAGAGCATGTGGGAGTCGTGGGGCAGCAACATGGTGGTCAAGGTCAAGTGGTTCTACCACCCTGAGGAGACCAAGCTGGGCAAGAGGCAGTGCGACGGCAAGGTGAGGCCCGGACAGGTGTGGGGCCCAGCCCCCCTCGGGGCCCCAGGGAGGGGACACGACAGCAGCCAGCACTGTGCCCCAACACGGAGCACCTGGCCCCACCACACAGCCCCCGCTCAGCAGGTACCACGGCCCTGCAGGGAGCCGCACAGCCCATGGGCATGCCCTAGAGCAGGGCTCCCAGGTCCCTCCCCACAGTGGGGGGCTGTGGCCCACAGCAGTGCTCAGCATCCGGCAGGTCTAGTTCACTCCTGGGATGTGTGGCGGCCCCCACCCCGTGGGCCCTCCCTGCCTCCAGTGCCAGCCTGAGACAGAAATTGCACTCAGCACACCCTCTGCTCCTCTCTGAGAAGAAGCCATTTTCCAGACCATATGACACGTCCATCTTTCAGGGAAATTAGTATTTCTCTGACTCCGACAGCCCCCAGAGGGTCCCCGGCAGGTTCCTCGGCCTCTGGACAGACAGGGCTGCCTGGACCTGGTCCCTGGCAGGTTCCTCGGCCCCGTCTTCCGGCCACACAGAAGTCCATCCGGTGACCCTTACAGAGCATGGGTGGGCGGGTGGTCTTTCCTGGCTGGGCAGGGGCGCACTGGCCAAGGCCGGCCACTGATGCCCCGCGCGCCTTGCCCCCAGAATGCGCTGTACCAGTCCTGCCACGAGGATGAGAACGACGTGCAGACCATCTCCCACAAGTGCCAGGTCGTGGCGCGCGAGCAGTATGAGCAGATGGCCCGGAGCCGCAAGTGCCAGGACCGGCAGGACCTCTACTACCTGGCGGGCACCTACGACCCCACCACCGGGCGCCTGGTGACGGCTGATGGCGTGCCCATCCTATGCTGAGCCGCCCACCGCAGATGCCTCCCACGTGCGCCAGGGACCCTGTGTGCGGAGCCTGGCGTCGGCCAAGCCACCGGGCAGGAGGCAGCCCCGGCCTCCCAAGGGCGCATCTGAGCAAATATGCAAAAGCCCACAGGGCAAGACCCAGGCTTTCTTACGGTTTTCCCTGGAAAGAGCGCTCCAGGTGTCGGAATCCAGTCCCGTCCCATCCTCTGCGGAGGGTCGGGCTGTGGCCCTCATGGGTCCCCGGCCCGCCCCACCCACAGCGCCCTCCGTTTCCCGCACCGGCAGTTCACGGGAGATTTGAATCCAAGCCATATTCCCTAGTACCTCCGACTGTCTCCCACCAGGGAAAGCAGAAATCAGGTGTGTTGTCTATTTATTTCTCTATGTAAATATTGTATTTCTGCGGGGAAATTTTATGGTAAAAAGTGGAAAAGGGTTTTTCCCCATCCGCGTGACAAGGTGTGTGTGAGCGTGTATGTGTGTGCGCGTGTGTGGCGATTTTTGTCCTGGGGTTTCCTTTGGAAATGCACTGTTCTCAGCCCAGCTGGGTTCCAACGGGGGCACCTGGGACGACAGAGGCATCTCGGGGCAGGGGGCAGAGGCCACGGGAGGGTCAGGTGGGACCCTTGACGGCACCCTCTGATCTCTTGGGGGGACGACCGTGTAAGATGAAAGTCGGTCAAGTTTATTTGCTTTCAGTGCATCTCCTAGAAAAGAAGTGTTGGAGCAGGGGGTGGTGATGAGGGGCCCGTGGGGAAAGGATTCAAGAGGCAAAGCCCAGACCAGGGAGTGTGACAACAGCCGTGAGCATCTCACCTGTGTTCAAAACAAGACAAAGACGAACAAATATTTTAAAGTATTGATAAGAAAAAGCAATGTTTGGATTGTATCTGCTGAATCATATTCCAACCTATATCTGATTTCTGTTTCCGGGGCCAGTTGGTCTGAGGCCAAGGAGTCTGGCCTCCACCCAGAGCAGGGAGGGGCTGGCCCCTCGCCCCCCTCACCCTCGCCGCCCTGGCACACTCGGGAAGCAGGGCCCAGCTCTGAGCCCCTCCTCACCCCTGGGGTCCTAACTTTCCTGAAAGTAGTAGGTGCCGTGAGAAGGGGCAGTTTGGCCAGGTTCCTGAACTGGGCAGGGCTCGGGGCCTATGAGGGCAGGTTCACAGTCCCACCAGATTCTCTCCTCACCCCCAAGCAGAATGCATGCAAAAGACACCCCTTTTCCCACCCACCTTATTGGTGCCCCCAAACCCCTGGCCTGCTGCGTAGATGGTGGTGAGGCCAGGCCAGCAGTGCTGTGGCCAGGGGAGAAGAAAATAAAACGCAGGCCCTGCCCTTGGGGAAGGCCCCTTTCTGGGCCCCCTTTTCCACCAGCCAAATCTGCCTGGCCCTCGGACCCCTCTGCCTGCCCCAACCCCTTTGGAGGTTTCTCGGCCTTTTCTGTGCCACTTGGTGGGGCAGATGGCCTGATGGGCTAGTGCTTGGGGCATAGAATGAGGGTCCCCCTGACCACCTGAGCCCAAATCCTGGCCCCAGGTGCAAGCAGCACCCCTCGAGGGCTCTGCCCCAGTATCCCCAGGGAATTCACACCCCTCCCCTTCTCCCACAGCCAAGGACAGACAGGCTGCCTGGACCTGAGCCCAACAGCCTTCAGCCTCAGAAACGCATGGGGGGCCACACACTCCTTATATCCTCCCACACTAAGGTTCCCCTGGCCCCACGGGAGCTTCAGGAAAGCCCCCCAAGTTAGCCACTGCTCTAGGACGAGCTCTGTGTCCCCCACACCACAGGCCTCGAAGCAGGGTGCTGGTGGGTGCCCTGTACCCCAATCCCAGGTCCCCTTGGCCCCCTATTTTTCTCGGGCCCATTGGGGCCTGTTTCTCACCTGCTGGCTGGACCCCCTGAAGGGCCGTTCCCAGAGGCTCCCCAGGAGGCTCAAGGCTGGGGGCTTATGTTGTGGTCGGGGGTCCCCGCCTCCAGCCCCCCGCTCCCACCCCCGAGCCTACCCTTTGTCTCGCATGAGTGCAATATTTCATTCCCGGTGGTTGTCTGGGGAGGTGGTTGGACGAGGTCCTGCTTGAGGCTCGGGGATCAGAACGATGTCAAGTGAAGAAAAATGCACGGGGGCATGCTGAGCCACTGGAGTTCCAGAGAGGGCCGAGGAGGGTGCAGCCACGGAGGTTGGATCCTCTGCTCCGCCGCCTCGTCCTCGTCCCGCTTCTGCTGGGTTCCGCTTTGTCCCTGGTTTTTTCCTTTCTTTTTCTGTGTGCGTGCGAATGGTGCGGCCCCTCCCCTCTCACCGTGGTTAACGTGACGAAGGCACGATTCCTGTAAATGTGTAAACTAAGGGGATGGTTGGATTTTTTTTCAATGTAAACACTAAAAACAAAATGGACAAAAAAACACACAAAGGTTTTATGAACAGCAGACTCTATGTAAAGGCATTTTAGTATCAAATTTTTTATTGATAACTTGCTTAAGAATAAATATATGGACTATTGTACAGGTTTTCGGTGGTCCAGGGTCCTGTGTCCCACGGTACTCCTGGGGGTTCCCCAGGGCTCCGGGGGCTCAGCAGAAGCCTCTCGTTCCCAGAGCTGGGGCTTCTGGGCCAGGCCTCCCCACCGCCCCCTGTGTTGGCCCAAGTGAAGCCCCTCAGGCCAGGAAAGGGTCATGTGACCGGAATGGGCTCAGAGTGGTCTTAGGGGTGGGGTCCCTCCAGGAGGAGGGCCCCTTTCCTGGTTGCTCTCACAGTCCCTGTCCAGCCTGAACCAGTCCAGGGCCAGAGTAGGTTCCACTGGAGAGGACGAAGGGCAAGAGCAGTCTCCGAGCCGCCACGCTGGGCAGGGTCTCAGACGTGAATGACCATCCTGGGAGGGGCGGCCCACGGCCCGGGTGTGGGAACACAGATGAGTGCACCCCCAGCTGGAGAGAGCCCTGTTCATGAGGCTGCAGACCCAGAGGAAGCCGGATGCTTGCAGGGGGTAGGGGACCCTCCTTGTTCCCCCTCTGCCGCCGGGATCTTGGGAAGCTGCATGAAGTCGGTGCACATCTGTCCCAGTGGGCCCTGAGTGCCTGGTCACAGCTGCGTCCAAGGCCAGGAAACATGGTCCTTGGAGGACGGAGTCCCTGAGTCAGCAGTGCCTTCCTGGGCCGGTGAGTGCGGAGAGAGGTGCTCAGGGACCGGCCGTGCCTCAGGCTGCTGTGAGGGCAGGGAGCAGATGAGGCCCTGGCCGGGCCGAGCGCTGAGTAAGGGGGCTGCTGGACCAGGTTTCTGGGTCAGGGGTCCTCTGTGGCAAGAAAGGAAAGACGGGTGAGGCCAGACACTCCCTGTGGGCTCAGGAGACCCTGACTTCAGTGATCTCAGTGACTTTTTTCGGGCAGAATCCAGCCCGGAACAGGGAGGAAGGCCTGCGGCTGTTGCCCCGGTTCCTGGAGCCCTGAGCCAGGACTTGCTGCCGCCTCCTGCCCACTCCAGGAGCTTGCCTGACGGAGCAGGTCGCACGGAGAGGCCACAGGCAGCCGACAGGGACTCTGGGGCAAGAGAGCCGGATGAGGCCCAGGCCGGAGAGGTGACACCTGCCTGGGAAGCCCACAGGAAACCTCTGCCAGCAGGTCTCAGGTTCAAATCCTCCATTCACCCAGCACTGCCTGGTGCCAGCAGTGTACCAAGCAGTGAGCCACAGTGGAAGTGAGCGGCCCACGGCCCCACCTTCATGACAGGCAGATGGGAGAGACCAGAACAGTGGGGCCCAGCAGCTGCACCCGGGGCCACGCAGCTGAGATAACCTCACCCGTGGAACCCCAAGGTCGGCCACCCCCATCTCAGCCAAAAGTGTGGTATCGGGGCTGAGCCAGGCCTGGTGGGGCAGCACTGTGGCTCCCCGCCCCCCGCTGCATGTGGCAGCAGGATCAGCGGGGACTTCCGCACCTGGCAAAGCAGACAAAGAACTGACTGTCCCTGGGGTGGTCCAGGTGGGCTCCCTGGAAGAAGTAACACCTGGGCTGTCTTGGAAAAGCCCAGGGCAGGGCAGGGCAGACAGAGGGTAGTCAAGGAACAGCTGGGGTGGCCAGCAGGTGGTTAATGGGGGCGGGGGGAGGTAGGGGATTGATGTTAGAGCTAGAGGGTGACAGAGGCCAAATCTCAAGCCCCTGAGAGCAGCATGGAGCCTGTCTTCTCTCTCTGACAATGGGTGCCCCAAGGGCTCTAAGCAGAGTCTGCAGTCAAATTGAGGCACTGGTTCTGCAGCCTGGGAGTCAGGGTTGAAGGTCCCAGGCCAGCCAGGCACCTGGGGGTCAGGGTTAGAGGGGCCAGGTCAACTAGACACCTGAGGGCCCAGGCCGGCACAGGTACCTGGGGGGAGGGGCTGGCACCAAGAGAAAGGCTTTAAGGGTGGCACAGGGCCGGACTAGGGGTCCAGGTGGGGCTGAGGGCCGGAAACGGCCAGAGGGGAGGGGGCCTGGCTGAAGGGGGTGCCACCAGTGAGCCCAGGAGGCAGGTGACCCGGGCTTAGCGAGTGGGGTTGACGGCAGGCTTAGGTGGGCCCCCGACCTCGAGGGTCTGACCTCCCCAGGAGCCCTGCAGGGCACACTGCTGAATCTAAGGGCAGGACTCACGCCTGGCTCTGGCCCCGCAACACCGCCGTCCTACTCTCCCCCTCCATCACCTCTCTGCCCCTCGTCCTCCCACCTTATCTCAGACAGGGCCATCCTTGCCTTCCAGAACTGCCTGCCCCCAGAACAGGCCCTGGGCAAAGGGCAGGGCGTTGTGGGAAGGACAGTCAGTGGGGCTGGGCATGCACAGCTGCGGAGCCCCAAGGGTTAAACATGCAAGACTACACTTTGATCAAGACAAACGGGCCATTATGTGAAATGCTGGAGCAAGATGAATGCTGGCGCTGGGTGAGTGAGATCAATAAAAGTGATGTTTTATCAGGTAGAAATGACAACCTGGCTGATCGCAATTCGTTTTTAATACCACAAACCAACTGGGGACCAGGGGGCTTTAATTGTTCATCCCCGGCCTGGCGAGGTTGCTG
Source organism: Homo sapiens (assembly GCF_000001405.40). NCBI lineage: Eukaryota > Metazoa > Chordata > Mammalia > Primates > Hominidae > Homo > Homo sapiens. The sequence continues at coordinate 125,068 of NW_025791805.1, forward strand.
GGGGTTGGCGGGGAGTGGGGGAGAGGCAGCCGCACCGCTCAGCCGCCGCGGGGTCACCGGGCACTGGAGCTGGCCGGACGCCCATGCTGGGTGGGCCCCTCAATGGTCTCCTGAGTCTGTACCAGGCAGGGTGAGGAGGGAACCGCCTCTGGCCCCTGGGTGCGGGCTAAGAAAACAAGCAGAGGCAGCACCCCAGGGGAATAACTCTGAACGGCCCCATCTCCCGCCAAGCCCCTACCAGGAACCTGGGCCCCTCGGCCTCCACTCTCCCCCCAACAGCCACCCTTTCCCGCTCCCCAGAAGTCCCAGTGAGAAGCCAGCACCTCCCTCCTTTAAGAGCCAGAGGACCCAGCCTTGAGCTTCCCGTGCCCTCCCTATCGGTGCAGCCTCTGTAACCCGCCTTAGGCTACCTGGAGCCATAATGGTGACGAGGACGCGTCTAGGGGAGCGAGCTTCCCACGGACGGGCGGGTGGGTTGTTCAAGGCCCAACCACCACTCAGTGCCCACCTGGGACCACAGCACAGCTGCCAGGGGGACCAGGCCTGCCCCTGCCTCAGGTGGGGAGCTGGGCCGGGCAACGGGTCAGTGGGGTAGAGGTGCGGCCCCGGGGCCAGGCCTGCAGGTGCAGCCTGACTTTGCAGTGGCTCGGACCTCAGTGTCCGTGTCTGTGAAATACAGACCTTGAGTCTCTTTCCCCACCTATAAGACCAGGATGAGGCTCACAGGTGGCCCAAGGGATTTCTGGATGGATGCACAGGCAGAGCCCAGTCAGCATGGGGGTCTCAGCCCCTTTCCCTTGGCCTACAACCTCAAGCCCCAGGCCTTGTGTCCCCACCCACACCCAAGGGAGGCTTGAGAGGCCCAGTTCAGGCAGAAAGAGGAGCAGGGCTGGCCTCCAAGCCTCCGCTCTGTCAGTGTCTCGTCACAGAGATCAGGTCCGCAGTCAACGCTTTTGGGCCACTTACATCACTTCCGAAGGCCAGACACACTTCCGCTTCCATTCAGCCCCCTGGACTCCTGAGGGCCTGAGCAAAGGCCTCCCAAAGCAGGAAGAAGCAGCAGACCAAGAGCAGACACTAAGGCTGGGCACGGTGGCTCAGGCCTGTTATCCCAGCATGGGAGGCCGAGGCGGGTGGATCACAAGGTCAGATCGAGACCATCCTGGCTAACATGGTGAAACCCCGTCTCTACTTAAAATACAAAATTAGCCAGGCGTGGTGGTGCATGCCTGTAATCCCAGCTACTTGGGAGGCTGAGGCAGGAGAATCGCCTGAACCCGGGAGGCAGAGTTTGCAGTGAGCTGAGATCTCGCCATTGCACTCCAGCCTGGGCAGTAAGAGCGAAACTCTGTCTCAGAAAAAAAAAAAAGACCAGACATGGACAGCCGCCACTCGGAGCCCAGAGCAGGGTTTGCCATGAGTATGCCACATGGTCTCGGGCCTGATGTCGCTGCGGAACTGGGAAAAGCATCTGTTTTCTTACATTCCACATCCCTCTGGTGTCTTTTGCTCCTTTCCTTTGCTGAGACTGAGTTCTCAGGCAGGCTCTATCCTGTGCTTTAGAGTAGCGGGGCCCACTCTGATGGGCGTTTCCTGTCTGTTTTTTGGAGGTTCCCGAGACTGACTGCACCCATTTACAGAAAGGAAAGGCAGGGGATTGACACAGCACCCTAGGCTTCCTGGGCCAACACCTACTGTTCAGGGAAAATCTCCAGTCCTGTCTCCCTGGACAGAGAGGACAGCAGGGTCCCTCACGATACCCAGGGCTGGTGGGGAAACTCAACACCTCCAGCCTATCCCAGATATCCTAGAATCTGTCATCCTGCCAGAATAGGCCTGTGATGTCCCTGTCCCATCAAAGCAGGGGACAGTGCATGCTGGTTCTCAACCCCTGATGACGTGATCTGTTCTTGGCAAGGCCACTTCTTGTTTCCTTCTCTGACAACCATTCCTGTGTCCATCTGCCCATCCATCTGTCCGTCACTTCAACAAGTATTAATACAAACTCAAGACCTACTGTGTGCCAGGCACCAGGATGCAGTGTTGAGAAGATTACACAAAGCCCACACCCCCAAGAAACTCAGAGCCCAGTAGGGAAGAAGGCCAGCACACAGAAGCCCTGGCACCCAGCACACCAGGAACTCCGAGAAGCCACACGAAGGGTACAGGACAGGGCCCTTCCTCAGTACAGAGCAGCTGCAAGCCAAAGAAGCTGGCTCCAGGCCCCCAGGGAGAGGAGCAGTCCTGCTGCCCTTCCAGGAAGCTCAGCCCCTAGTAGAATGCACTTCTGGGGGGCATCCACAGTTGCTTCCTTTAACTAGTTTAATCCGAAGACAAAAGTTGAGCTAAGGCAGCTTGCAGAGAAAGGAAGGACTAGAGGCTTGCTAGGTAGGACTCGTCTTCCACTGGCGTCACCTCAGAAAACAGTGACTCAGAGAACAGCCTCTAGGCCTGGGCCCTCAGCCCCAGGGCAGACTGGCTAGCAGGCCAGTGGGAACTCTGGTCTCACTGAGGCTGGGGCTAGGGGCTGGGACTTCACTGAGAAAAAGTGTTCCAGATGGCAGTGGGGTGGGTTAAACCAGACGCCTCCCAGAGCCCCTCTCCCCTAAGGTTCCCAGCAGTCAGGAGCCTCAGGCTCTCAAACCCTTCCTGCGGTGACGGAATGGTCTAGAAGCCTACTCACAATTTGGTTTGCTGAGAGGGAAAAGTTAAAACCGCCCTTTTTATTTGGGAGCCTTTGAACAAGTTTATGATCTTGCCCCTTGTCAGGAAATCTGTTTTCACTTACAAGAAACAGGCTGGCTCAGGGGCCGGCGGTGAGCAGAGCAGTGAGGGAAGACTCCACACTGACAGGCTAATTATATTTTTCACCACTGGCCCGGTTAGTCCCCACTCTGGTCCTGGGCAAAGCACCCCTGGCCTGGTGCTCCTGGAAGCCCCCACTACGGCCCGTCTTTTTGGGGGGTGGAGTTGGAAAGCCAATCTACAGCGAGGGTGCAGAAGGCCAGAGGTGATGTCGGGGGGCCCGGACAGGAAGGGGACGAGCGCCCACTGCTGCGCAACCAGAGCCCAGGCAGCCTCTGCTCTCGGCTGTGAGCACTGTGGAGCAGCCGGGGATTCTGAAGGATCAGCAGGCAAACAGTGCTGCCCCCAGACACGCAGGGCTCCGAAAAGCCAAAGCCCTCAGAGGGTGTCCGAGGCCACTGTCCCAGGGCCCCAGAAGCTGCAGGAAGAGCCTCCTCTGGGGCAGAGACACGCCATGCACGCACGTGGATCCGAGGACAGCCATGCCACTCTCCGGTCACATGACCCACGCCAGGCCAATCACAACACCTCTGCTTCCTCTGCCACCGTGATTGGCTTTGGGTCGGGCATGTGACATAAGCTGAGCCAATCAGAGTTCACCACTGGGACCCAATGAGCGCACAGCTTTTCCTGCGGCCTCCTGCAGCTAACCCGCCACGTTCTCTTCTCCCAGCGCTGGGCTCTCGCCGCGGCAGAACTTCGGAGTCCAGGATGGGGTTGTAGAGCCTGAGGTGTCATTCACATTGCTGGTGAAGAACAAGTAATTTGTAACAAAAGCATGTTCCATGCAATATCAGGGGTATGCTTATACTAAAAATTATTCATTCTTTATCTGAAATTTAAATTAACCTGACGTCCTGTTTTATTTGTTTAGAGACAGAGAGGGTTTCGCTCTGTCGCCCAGGATGGGGTGCAGTGGTGGGATCTTGGCTCACTGCAGCCTCCACCTCCTGGGCTCAAGCCATCCTCCCACCTCAGCCTCCCAAGTAGCTGGGATTACAGGCACGTGCCAAGCCCAGCTAATTTTTTAATTTTATTTTTTTGTAGAGTTTGGCGGGGGAGGGTCTCGCTATTTTGCCCAGGCTAGCCTCGAACCCTGGATTCAGCCTCCCAGAGTGCTGGTATTACAGGCATGAGCCCCGCACCCAGCTTTGTATTTTATTCATTAAATCTGGCAGCCCGCCTTCACAACGGCGGTTGACCTTGAAAGCCAGCTGTCCAACATAAAGTGGGTCTCCCCAGCCCACCTGGCTGCACGCAGCTGCACCCAGTCATCCATCACGGGGCAGAAAGAGCCCATGCAGGCCCTTAAGGCTCAGGAAGCTGCTGGAGGCCACTCCTGCTACACTGACCCTCCCTCACCTCAAACCCATGGCCTCTGCGAAGCCTCATCACCTGTTGACCGAGGAGGCAGCAGCCTCCTTTACAGAGCCAGCCCCAGCCCCAAGTGGATGGCTGCACCCTCACAGCCCCACCTTGCAGGACAACCCTCCCAGAGTGCAGCACATTGAGTGGACGTCTCCATGTTCAAGGCCGAGGCCTACAGAGTCCTGGGCAGTGCCTGGGCATCTGGCCAAACGTGAGGGACTTGGAAAAAACACAGGGCAAACCAGTCGGGGACAGGAGTTGGAGGAGTTCGAGGAAGAGGAGGGTCAGCAGGCATTTGGGCTGTGGCTGGAGGCTGAGCATGTGTAGGCCCGTGTGAGCCCACCAGAAGCCCCACTGCAGAAGAGTTTTTCAGAGTCAGGTGGGCACATGACCCACCCGGGGGTGCCCATCACCTCCCTCCCCCCCAGCCAATCTGCAGCTCACCCCACGGGCTCGCAGTGTGCAGAGAGGAAGGTCAAGCACAGGCACTCCCTCTTGAAACGGCCCTCCCTGTGGCTGGTCTGGATTCCCACTGAGGAAGGCTCAATTGTAGAAGCCACAACGGACCTGAAATCCCAGCAGGGTGCCATGCTTCACGGGCACCTGGCAGTGCTGTGGGGCACATTGATGACTTTGGTCCCTTCCGTTATGGCATGGGCAGCAACTTGTCCTCATCAGGAATAAGCTCTGCTCTGGATGAGGTCATGCCATGGGCCTAGAGAACCTCTAGACCTGCTCAGGGAACCCCACCCTGCCCCTGCAACCAAGGAACTCATTTCCAGGCACAAGCACAGCCAGGAGCTAAGTCACAGCCATTCCCCATCTCACCCTCTGTCCCTGGCATCTGCAGCCCAGGAGCCATGCAACCTGGTTGGTCTGAGGCAGGGCACCCCACAAGCCAGGAAAAGCTCCAGTCCTGGCTTCAGGAGGCAGGAGTTGGAGGAGGAGTTTCAGCCTCTCACTGTCACACTAGTGCCCTTAAGCTCTGCCTCCCGTCCTGACTCAGAGCTGCACTGGTCTGCCGTGCAGCACCCACGGGGAGACATCGTTACAGCCCAGGGATCTGGAGCCATTTCATGTTCCATGGGCCACAAGGTGAGTAGGAGAAAGAGGGTGTGTGGTTGCCATTCCGGCCTGCAGTTGGGCAAGGAGACGGGTGGAGCTGGGGACCTCAGAACGTACACCTACGACATGCTGATGCACTGGCGGGAGACCTCTGCAACCCCAAGAGGGCAAGAGCCACAGGGGCTCAGACACCCCAGGAATAAAACTGGGACCAGGCACAGTGGCTCCCGCCTGTAATCCCAGCACTTTGGGAGGCCAAGGTGGGCGGATCACGAGGTCAGGAGATTGAGACCATCCTGGCTGACATGGTGAAACCCCATCTCTACTAAAAAATAGAAAAAAATTAGCCGGGCCTGGTGGCTGGCGCCTGTAGTCCCAGCTACTCGGGAGGCTGAGGCAGGAGAATGGCGTGAACCCGGGAGACGGAGCTTGCAATGAGCCAAGATCGTGCCACTGCACTCCAGCCTGGGCGACAGAGCGAGACTCCATCTCAAAAAAAAATTTTTTTTAAAAGTTCGGTCATCCCACCAGGGAAAGAAGCCACCTGTGCGAGGCTCTTGCTGGAGACGAGGGCAGCGGTGGTAAGGTCAGGAGTGAAGGCAATGCCGATACCAGTGGCAGCTTGGGGCCCCCAGAGGAAAAGGAGGGCGCCTCGACTTTCTTGCCTGGGGCTATGTGCTTTCTATTTTATTTTCTTTCCTCTTCTTCCCCTGCTGTTGGGTGTCAGGTAGGTTAGCAGTGGGTAGTTCCAGCGTCCACTCCACAGCTGCAGACGCCCGGCAGACCCTCACCCGAACTCAGGAAGGTGGACATCCCAGACAGCAGGCACAGCTGAGCCGCCCAGCTCATCTCCTGGGGGGAAAGGGAGTGTTTTTATTGATCATCAGATGGCTGCACGGTGCCCTGGAGTCGTGGGAGTGGGTCAGGGGAAATGTGTGGCTCCCACGGGGGCCGAGTGTGGCCCCCGCTGCCGTGTCTGCCCCAAGGCCTTCCTGCCACCTTCTCCTGGTAACAGATGCCCCTGTTTCGTGCTGGAACTGCCCTCACCTGACCCACGTGGTTCTAGTAGAGTTGTTACCCGACCCCCGGGCCTGGACGATCACACGGCCGTGTCCCCTGGCCCAGGGGAGCAAGCCCTTTCCTGGAATGAGGAAGGACCCTGCACTCCTACTCGGTAGCCACACTGGAAGCGAGCCGACCTGGCCCTGTCTGAGCCATGCCCCCATTCTCCTCCCCTATTCCCCTTGAAGAATAGGGAAACACGTGTTTGCAGTGGAGAAGCAGAGGCCAACACACACAGGGAGAAAGAGCAAGGGACAGAAACACAGAGACAAGTGGAAAGACAGACAGAACCCTGACGACAGCTGGGTCCTCGGAGGCTCAGAGGCCCAGAGGCCCAGAGGCCCACGCCGCCCAGGCCTTTCCGGCCATAGCTTCCTTTTGTGCTGACGGCGTTTGAGCTGATTCCTTCAGTTAGAATCCTAAGGGTCTTGGTGCTCTCAGCCCCTGCCCTGCACAGAGTAGCGATGGATCCACTGCCCCTGGTGACAGTGTGTGCTCTGAGTGTCTCTGGGTTCCCGGGGCCCCACAAACACTGTGGTGGCAGGTGGGAACGACTGAGGCCTGACGAAGGGGGACGGGAGTCCTCCCCCCCGAGTACCCACAAGTACCCAACACAAAGACCTCCTCAAAAGACTGGACTGGACACTCCTCCATCAGCAGGGTCTACCTCACTGATCCAGTATGAATGACGGCCCAGCCACTCAGCCAGGGAGGTGAGCAGGGCCAGTAGCAGCACAAAACCCACATTCCGTCCTGTTCCATACGTGTGTGAGTGAATGCAGCCCTTGTGCATGCATAGAAAACGCTCTGGGTCGGGTGCAGTGGTTCATACCCATAATCCCAACACTTTGGGAGGCCAAGGTGGGAGGATCACACCCAACTCTGGTGCTGGGGAGGATGCTATCCTTGGGCCCAAATGGGGCTGAGGGCAGGATAGAGGGCAGTGGCAGGTCCAGCCTCTTCTCTCCTCGGCCTGGGCTTCTGCGTGAGGCAGGGGGCTGCCAGTGTTGAGGGCACACCTGGCCATCCAGAGCGTGGCCACCCTGTGGTGGGTCCCTGCTGTGCCTGCTGTGCTCCAGGAAGATGGGAAGGGGTCTGTGGCCACACCTGTGTGCTGCTTAAGGTGGTGACGTCACAGCCTTTTTCATCCAGGGACCCGGAAAGAAGGAGTGTCTCGGGGAAGACAGCAGTGGGGGCCTCATGGTCTGGAGCCCTCTCCCCACCAGATAGATGGAAGTTCTGGAATGTTCCTAGCCGGTTCTGCTTCTCTTGGCCTGCCTCTTGCTGTGGGCCCTCAGGCAGGCCACTGGCCTTCCTGAGACCTGATTTCCTTGTCCATGAAAATGACATGGAAGGTGACAGCAGCAGGATGGCTCATGGGAGACGTGGCTGAGCACTGGGCCTGCTGGCGCCTCTTCTCCAGCATCAGCTCTTCCTTTCCAGTTACCGGGGGTGGGGGGGAACTATATTGCCCAGTACCTGTCCCCGCTTTTTCCTCAGTAACAGAGCCCCAACTCGTAACTGGGCACCTGGCCATTAAGAGTGAAAATTACATTTCCCAGCGTGCCTTGCAACTAGATGCAGCCATGTGTCTGAGTTCTGGGCAACGAGGGTGAACAGCAATGTCACGTGCAGCAGAAAGTATCCTTAAACATAAGGCTGTGCTCTTCCTTCCTGCTAGTTGGAATGTAGGTGTGATGGCTGGATCCTAAGCAGCTATTTTGGATCATGAGAAAGAAGCCACAGTGAAGGATGGCAGAGCAACAAGCTAGAGGAGCCAGGGTTCCTGATGATCCTAGAGGCATCAGAGTGGCCCTGGAGGCCTTAAGTAAAAGAATAAGAAACATCCCCCTTCCTTAAGTCACTACGACTTCTGTGCTGTTTCTGTGAAGCCTGAATCTAATCCTGATGTCTATGTTGGTTACCCATCAGTCTACCCTCAGTCTCTTTGGCTCTTCTCTGTGACCAGCCCTGCTGGCCCACACCCAACATCCACTCTCCACTTCTCCCTGCTCTCGTTCTGCTGGGACCCCCCCTTTGAGGGTCCCACTCTCCACTTCTTCTCCCCCCCGCCGTTCTGCTGGGACCCCCCTTTGAGACTCCCAGGGCCCTGTGGTCTCTGAGGTTGAGGTCTACTCTCAGCTTGATGTTGCTGCCAAGCCAGCCCCTCTCACAGCACAGAGCGCTCAGCACAGCCTGTAATTATGTATTTATTGTGGGTTTATTTGATTGCTGCCTCCCCAGGACTGTCACTAATGTGAGGGCAGGGCCCCTGCCTGGTATTCACATGATATCCTCAGCTCCCGGCTGGGGGTCTGGGCTCAAGCAGGTACCCAGTGAACCCTGGGCAGGTGAACCTCGTCCTGGTGAGTGCTGACTCCGTGACCCACCACCCTCCCCACCCCTTCCTCGGCTACCCCGGCCCCAGCCACTCCTGTCCCTCTCTCTACCCTCCCCCAATGCCCAGAGTCCCCCTCCCAGCCCTTTTCTTCCACCCCATTGTCTTCTCTGCCCCCTTCCTGACCTTGCATTGAGGCTGCAGGCCTCGGGGCCTTCCAGTGACCCACACCCAGCCACGTTTCATTTTCTGAACTTGGGTTTCAAACATGAGGAAGGAACTGAGGCTGGTGTTCCAGGAGCGGCCCCAGCGCTTGCTGGTGGCTGTGTGGGGGCACAGGCCCCCCAGTAAGTCTCCCATCCACAGGGGCATCAGAAGGATGGAGAGGTAGAGTGTCTCCCCCACCCCCCGATTGGCCTATAGGAAAGGACAGACAGTCCCCAGTGCTGGCACCATGTGGGGCAATCAGAACCCACCCACACTGCGGGTGGGAGCAGCGGTCAGGACAGTGGCTTGCAGAGCTAGCAGTGTCTGCTAACATCCACCAGAAACCCCCACTGTCGGGCACAAGGAGACACACACTAGAATGTTTGTAGCAACACTATTCACAGACTTTGGAGATAATCTAAATGTCTGTCAACAAGAGACTTGGTAGATAAAGTGTTACATCCATACAATGGACTACAACACAGCAACGCAAGAGAACAACCACAGACACACGCAGGACGCAGCAATGCAGTGAGCACGGGCAGCATTGTGTGGCGTGAAGGCGCCAGCCTCGGAGAGGACGGCTGTACAGCTCTGCTGGCGCGGACTAAGGATCAGGCAGAGCAGTCTCCGGGATGGGTGGCAGAGCGCTCCTGGGCTTGCATGGGAGGGGGCACGAGGGAGCCTCTAAGGGCTGGGAGTTCTCTGGACCGGGCTGGCGGTTGCACGGATGTGCACGAATGTGAAAGTCCAGTGATCTGCAGCTTAAGATTGGTGCACCTGGCCAGGCGCGGTGGCTCACGCCTGTAATCCCAGCACTTTGGGAGGCCGAGGCAGGCAGATCACGAGGTCAGGAGATCCAGACCATCCTGGCTAACACAGTGAAACCCCATCTCTACTAAAAATACAAAAAAAGATTAGCTGGGCGCGGTGGCGGGTGCCTGTGGTCCCAGCTACTCGGGAGGCTGAGGCGGGAGAATAGGGTGAACCCGGGAGGCAGAGCTTGCAGTGAGCCGAGATTGTGCCACTGCACTCTAGCCTGGGCGACAGAGCAAAACTCTGTCTCAAAAAAAAAAAAGATTGGTGCACCTACTTCACTTTTTTTTTATTTTTTTATTTTTTTGGAAACAGAGTCTCACTCTGTTGCCCAGGCTGGAGTGCAGTGGCACGATCTCGGCTCACTGCAAGCTCTGCCTTCCGGGTTCACGCCATTCTCCCGCCTCAGCCTCCCGAGTAGCTGGGACTACAGGCACCCGCCACCACGCCCGGCTAATCTTTTGTATTTTTAATAGAGATGGGGTTTCACCGTGTTAGACAGGATGGTCTGGATCTCCTGACCTCGTGATCCACCTGCCTCAGCCTCCCAAAGTGCTGGGATTACAGGCGTGAGCCACCGCGCCCGGCCTTTTATTTTATTTTTTGAGACGGACTCCCTCTATTCCCCAGGGTGGAATGCAGTGGCGCAGTCACGGCTTACTGCAGCTTCTTCCTCCTTGGGCTCAAGCAGTCCGCCCACCTTGGCCTCCCAAAGTGTTGGGATTACAGGCATGATCCACCACCCCCAGCCCGGATCCCAGTTTTTGATGTCGGTGGAATTGGAGATGGCAGGCAGGGCCATCTGTGTGCCAGCTGTGGTTGATTAGCAGGGGCTGCCTGGAGAATGATCTGAGGGCCCGAGGCCACCGCTGGGCTCCGTGGGAGAGAGTGGCTGATGGATTAGTGATGTCTGCCACATGCGCTGCAGGAACGAGAGGCAGCCTCCATGTCCCTGAAAGACGGCCATCCTCGCACTAACCTCACAGCCCCCCACAGGCAGCTCACTCCAGCCAAGCCCACCACCACCTCCTCAACTGCAACAAATGCTTATAATGACAGCTCATGTATATTTATCGAGCCTGTAATTACCAAGACAGTGTGCTGCACGTCACCTACATCCCCTCACCCTGCCCAACAACCCTATCATCATCGCCATACCACAGGCGGAGAAGCCAGGGACAGGGGTGCCTCGCCCCAGCCTCCTGATGCCTGCGGCAGAGGCCCAGCTGTGCACAGCCACACTCCCCCGGATGCCACGTCCCTGATCCCCATGGTGGCACCTCCTTGCCCCCTGCTTTTCTTCAGCTTCTCCACCACTCCTACTCCTCCTTGCCCTTCAAAGCCACCTCAAGTGCCACCCCCTCTCTCCTCATTATCCAAGAGTCCTCCCCCTCCTGAGCCTCTCAGGGGACCTGGGCCCGAGCCACCTTATCAGGAACTTGTGCATGGCTGCAGTGTTGGGTCACACATGTCTCCAAGTCTGAACTACATCCTTTCTTCCTTGGGCTCCTGGGGCTAAGCCCAACCTGGCAGACAAAGGCTCCCCTGAGAAGGTTTGATGAGTGAATACATGTCCCCTGCCTCAGAGGGAAGCCCCCATCTCAGGCCTCACACGGGCAGATTCATCCTCCTTCCAGATACAGGCCCCATGAAGGGGCAACAGCAAACAGGATCAGTCCCTGCCCTGGGGAATTACAGTCCCAGCAGTGGCTTGTGACAGCTGCCAAGATGGGCAAGCATTGGAGCATCCAGGAGGACCCCCAGGAAGAGGGCCTGAACAACACCGTGCACGTGCGCTGACACGGGGCATTCCTCGTCCTCAGTCCTGCCTCGTTTTGTGACTCATCACTTTCAGGATGGGAAACCCTCCAAGGAAGGTCCCCTTGGCTCTGGGGTGGCTCCTAGTGGATCTGCAAGAGGCGGGGCCCAGCCTGGTCGTGCCCCATCTTAGGCTGCCTCTGCATGGGCTACACATCCACAAAACAAAGCAAAACAGCAACATTTTCTACGATGCTTTTATTCACACTTCAAAACAGGTGCTGGACATCTTCCCATTGCCCCATGCCAGCCCCTGCTCTGTGCCCCGGGAAGCTGACTGTAGGTACAGGATCCATGGGGCCTCGTTGCTCCCTGGCCTCCACCTAGTTCAGCCAATGCGTAGCCGGTAGACAAGCCAAGCGGTCAGGAGGGGTGAGGTCAGTGTACAGCAGCAGCTCCTCCCTGCCGGGTCGCTGTGTCCCTCTCCAAGGTCAGGGCTCCTGGAGACGGCCTCTCCTGTGGCTCCAGCTGCCCTCCAGGTCTCAGGGGGTAACAGCTCCCCTTTGTTGCTGGCCCTGGGTACTGCACAGCTCTCCTTTAATTCACGTATTTTCCATTTATTCAATTCTCCTCAAATACCCTGTCTGAGGGTGCCATAAAAATGTAAGACTGTGTCAATTGCCCATATCAAAAAACATGCTTGTACGTTCCACTTGAAGTAGTTTGGAGGGGAGACTAATGGAAACTAGGGGGAGGCTAGCCCCCAAGCCTCCGCTGAGGCCACCGCTGTCTGTGTCCCGAGGGCCCTGGAGTAGGAGGTGTCAATGACGGACTCAATGAATGAATGAATTGATCCCACCACCACCAGCGGCAGGCCCGCCTCTTCCTTCCACAGCCCACCTTGGCCTCCCCGCCTCGCCAGGTGGCAAGGCCTTCGCTCCTGGTCCCTGAGCGCCGCTCGCTTCCCTCCCGCGTGGGCAGGGGGCAGCCGCGACGCCGGCCCAGCGCCTCCGAGCCGGGAACCGCACAGCACCCGGCGATGGCCCCGAGCCCCGCGCGCCCGAAGCCACGGCGCCGCTCGCTGGGGGCCTCGGGACGGCAGGGACGGCTGGGGGTGGCGCGGACCGCGTCCCCGAGGCGCGTAGCGCGCGATCGAACCACGCGCCCCGCCCGCTGCGGTCCTCTAACAGCCCCTCGCGCCGCCCCACGTGGGGCCGCACGGGCTGGCGGCCCCCTCACCCGATTGGCCGCCGCACAGCCAATCAGAGAGCGGAGGCGATAGCGGCCGCGCCGATTGGCTGCGGCGGGCCGGCCCGGGGGAGGGGGCGGGACCCCTTTTGTTCTCTCCGCACCTCCGGGTTCGCGCGACTGTGAGCGCCCCCGCCCCGGAGCAGGGGTCCGCGCTGGGGGTCCGGAGGGCGGGGGCGCGGCCCGACGCCCCACCCCCAGCTTGTTCACTGCCGCCAGGGCCCAGCGCCTGAAGCGCGGGTCCTTCGCTGGGACGAGCGCTTTCATCTCCGTCCCTCAGTTTCCCTCCCCTTGTCTTCTCCCTGTGTCCTGGGAGTTATGGGGAAGCTCAGCCCTTGGCAAATGAGCTTGGGACCTTCCTAAAACCTAAGCCAATGATAGGCCCGATCTTGCCTGAGAGGGGCACGTGAGAGACCCCCAAGCTGGAGAGGCAGATGTCCTGGTAACTCTAACCTGAGACCGTTTTCAGGGTGAGCCTTCTCCTAATCACGGCTGGGGCGTCTTCGTCCAAGGTGGGGCTGGATGGGGGTGGGCAGAGGCCCCCACAGTCACAGCCTGGCCAGCTGTGCAAATGCTCCCCTAAACCGTCCCCCGCTTCAGTCACTCAGCCAACCAATCAATCGCAGGGGCCTCCCTCTGGGGTGGAAAGTGGTGGCCCCAGGGACCAGGGACCTTCACAGGGAGAGAGGGCTGTGGTCCGGGCAGGGGCGTCAGGGGTTCAGCCTGGGTCTCCTGACCTCCAGGCCCACGTCTTCCCTTAGACAACACCTGAGAGCATCTCCCAGCGTGGCTGTGGCCACACACATCCCTGGGAGTAGGACGGGCCACCGCGCTGAAGCTGTGGATGCAGGGCTCCCAATCTGTAGGCGAGGGGCCTCTCCCCTGCAGGGGACAGGATCAGGACCCTGGGAGCCCTCAGTCCCCCTCCCAGCACTGATTACCTGGAAAACCCCCCGAGCCCAGGTTGATGAAGAAGGTGGGACCCTGACAGTGAGTGGCCTGAGCCTGGGATGGTAGCTTGACCTCATCTCCAAGGTCATCCTCCCAGACCTGGGAGTCTAAAAACATTAAATCCTTCAGAAGGACATATTTGCATCAGATCACTGTTCAGAACGCCACTGGTGCCATTCACGGAGCAGTCCCTGGGCTGAAGTGGCTGCTCTGGTCTGGTGAGCGGGGGCACCCACGCGAGCTCCCAGGCCCAGAGGCCTCCCCCAGATCCTGGTGTTAGTGGCCCATGGAAGGACTCCCAGCCCCAGAGGCTTGGCAGGTGTCTGCGGCTCCCCAGGGGTGGGGTGCTGGGAGGCTGACATCTGTGGAGTGTTTTTACTGTTGAACAAATTGAATCAATTAAACAGGCCCCATCGGGGTGGCTGGGAGCGGTGAACAGGAGGAAAGAGGGGAGCGGAGCCAAGAGGACAGCCTGAGGGCGTCTGTCTCCCCAGGCGGGGTTCAGACGCACCTCTTTCCCTGAATGTTCCAGGGCAGGAGACCCCCCGTGTTGACAAGAGGGAGGTGAGTTAGTGGAGGGGGAGTGGGAGGAAAGTCAGTGGGGACTGTCCCTGTTGTGTGTCCCCTGAAAGCACGCCAAGGCCTGTGTCTCCTACCCAGCCACCTCTGGGCTTCTCAGCCCCCAGCCCTGTGATGACCCTTTGGACATCCCAGCCTCCTTTCAAAGACATTTTATTGCTCTCACAAGGAGGCCTCCGGAAGCTGGGAGGCTCCAGCAGAGAAAGAGAGGAGGCTGCCTAGGGAGGCTGGAGGAGGCAGAGAGGAAAGAGGAAACATTGTGGGGGTAATAGCAAGGGCCCCGGGTCACCCACCTGGAGCGGAAGCCTCCCCCTCGGGCAGGCTGAGAATGACGCAGGCGCCGGCTGCTCTGTGACCCAGCTGACCGAGGGACAGCCCCTGCCTGGGAGCTCCAGCAGCTGCTGCAGCGTCCCTCCTGCCCAAGCAAGGGCCGCAGGGCCACCCCTCCAATCCGTCCCCAGAGGTCCACTGCCGCTGCCTCTCCTCCAGCTGCCGCTCAGGGGAGCGAGGTTTCTTGAGTCAGGCCACCGGCAGCGGGCGGCCAGCCCCTCTCAGCATGGCGCTTGCCCAGGGCCTGGGCTCCGTCACATGCCAGGACAGTGGTCACCGTCACCCTGGACAGACCACCTCTGTCCCTTTATGTCAAGTGACCATTATTGGGCCCCCTGAGGCAGACGAGCGTCTCACCAGTAAGCTCCCAGGGAGGACGGCGTGGTCAGGACCTGCCCATCCGCCAGCACTCTGGCCTCTAGGCCCGCAGGCTGAGGGCACCGGCGGGCACCAGAACAGGGGCTGGTTTGGCCGAGGGACCTGCTTCTTGGGCAGCACCAGGAAACAGCCGGAGACCCTCCCAGCGCCCACATCCATGGCGTGAGCCCCGCGTGGGTGCAGCCCCTTCCGCAGCCCGAATTCCAGGCCAGCCGCTGCAGGAGGGACCGCCAGCCAGGGGCGCAGGGCAGAGGGTGGGGGAAGGCGTGGCGCTCGCGCTCTCGGCTCTTGCTTGGATGGCGCCGGCTGAGGACCCCCACACCTGCGCTGCGGTGCAGAGGTCTTAGGATCCGAGGGGGCTGCCGGTCTGGGCCGGCGCGTTCAGGCCCCGGGCGGTGGGGCGGCCTCGGCGTGCGTGGCTCGGTTGCCTGCAGGCAGGCACGCGGCGCTGTGAGAAACGAACGTCCGTGACTTAGCCCACGGGACCGTTTCTGCATTTTCACCCCAACCTGGAGAGCTGCAGCACAGCCGCGGGACAGGAAGTCGCCGCCAGGTGGGTCAGGACTGCGACCTGAACTCGGCTCTGCGGCCTCCCGCTCCGGCCGCCGGTTCGCAATCCTGGCGTGAACCAGCAGATCAACCTCCGGCGCCCGCCACAGGCGCCCTCCCGCGGGAACCGGCAGGCAGGAGCGGTGCGGGGGCGCCCTCCAGCGGCCGTGGCCGGGATGGCGGCCTCCTGCCAGGCTCCAAGCGTGGCCGCGTGGGCAGCGCGCGCAGCCCGCCACGGAAAGACAGGCGCTCCTCCTGGGTGGGCCTTGGGACCCCTTCGCGCCCTGTGTGGCCGCCTCGTGGTGAGCACCCCCGCCCCTCCCTGCAAGGCCGGTGTTCCCAGCTGGAAGGGCAGGCAACCTGGGAACCAGAGGGAGCTGCTCTGGTTGGGAGGAAAAAGCCAGCTCGGTTCCCGCCTGAGCCCCGAAGGGGCGGGGCTGGGAAGGGGGCCTGGCCAGAGGGAAGGAGCACTCTGGGTTGGGGGTGCTGGGGGAGCACAAAGGCAGGAACTGGGGAGCATAAGGCCAGGAGATAGGGGAGAACCTAGGCAGGAGCTGGGGGAGCAGCCAGGCAGGAACTGGGGAGCATCGATGCAGGAGCTGTGTCGCGTGTTATCCCCGTCACGTGGAGTTGTGTGTCCTGCGAGGAGCACAGCATTTCAGGGCCTAGAGCCCCTCTCTGTACTGGAGCCGCCTGTGTGTGTCCATTCCGAATGAGCCATACTTCCCTCGCAGCTCTCCCAGTGGGATTGAGAACTGTTAGGCACACACCTGGTGAAGCATTGCTGCCCTTTCTGTTGGGGAGAAGCGGCCTTCTAGCGCAGAGAATAGCTGCTTCCTGGAACTGAAATCCTGCCGCATCCAGACCAAGAGCATGCTTGGAGCAGGCATCAGTGCACACACTGCTTCCGAAATTACAGCTATAAATTTTAAAAAAATTTTTTTTTCAAGGCAGGGTCTTGCTCTGTGGCCCAGGCTGGAGTGCATTTGCACCACCATGGCTCATGGCAGACTCAACCTCCCTGGCTCAAGCCACGCTCCCACCTCAGCCTCCCAAGTGGCTGGGACTACAGACACATGCCACCACACCTGGCTAAATTTTTTTTTTTTTTTTTTTGAGACAGAGTCTCACTCTGTCACTCAGGCTGGAGTGCAGTGGCGCAAACTCTGCTCACGGCAAGCTCCGCCTCCCGAGTTCACGCCATTCTCCTGTCTCAGCCTCCCGAATAGATGGGACTACAGGTGCCCGCCACCACGCCCAGCTAATTTTCGTATTTTTAGTAGAGATGGGGTTTCACCGTGTTGGCCAGGATGATCTCGATCTCCTGACCTCATGATCCACCCGCCTCGGCCTCCCAAAGTGCTGGGATTACAGGCGTGAGCCACCACGCCCGGCCTAGTTTGGGCAAGTTACATTTTTTTTTTCTTTTTTGAGGCTGAGTCTTGCTCTGTTGCCCAGGCTAGAGTGCAGTGGTGTGATCTTGGCTCACTGCAACCTCCACCTCTCGAGTTCAAGGGATTCTCCTGCCTCAGCCTCCCAAGTAGCTGGGATTACAGGCACCCACTATCACACCTGGCTAATTTTCTTATATTTTTAGTAGAGACAGGGTTTCACCATGTTGGCCAGGCTGGTTTCGAACTCCTGACCTCAAGTGATCGGCCCGCTTCGGCCTCCCAAAGTGCTGGGATTATGTGGGCATGAGCCACCATGCCTGGCCCATAATTTTTTAAACTGTGATACATTTTGCCATTTTAACCATTTTTAAGTGTACACTTCAAAGGCATTGAGTACATTTACCATGTTGTGAGACTCTCAACACTATCCGTCTGCAGAACTTTTTTGTCATTCCAGAGACTATCCATTAAGCACCAACTTCCTTTTCCCTCTCTCCCCAGCCCCTGGCCTTGCCCTCTCCCCCCAACCCCTGGCAACCTCTTACCTACTTTCTGTTTCTGTACTTGCCTATTCTAGATGTTTTATAAGTGGAATCAGACAGACGTTGTCCTTTGTGACTGGCTCATGTCACTTAGCATAATGTTTTCAGGCCATCTGTGCGTGGTGTGCGTCAGAATTTCCTTCCTTTTTAACGTTAAATCATAGTCCATTGTATGGAGGGACCACATTTGTTTCTCTATTCATTTATGGATGGAAACGTGGGTTGTTTCCACCTTTTCTCTGTGGTGAGTATCGTTGTGGTCAACATTTGGAATAACTCGTGTTGAGCACACTGTTCGTGTTCCTGCCCCTAGTTCTCTGGGTGTGTGGCTGCGCGGAACTGCTGGGTAATTCTACCCTTCGCTCTTTGAGAACCGCTAATGTGTTTTTCACGGCGCATGCATTGTATGAGAGCTCCAGTTTCTCCACATCCTCACCAACGCTTACTGTTTTTATTATTGTTCTTGTTATACAGCTTTCATTTTTATAAAAAGCAATTTTTTTTTTTGAGACGGAGTCTCACACTGTCACCCAGGCTGGAGTGCAGTGGCACGATCTCGGCTCACTGCAATCTCCGCCTCCCAGGTGAAAGCGATTCTCCTGCCTCAGCCTCCCAAGTAACTGGGATCACAGGCACCCGCAACCACGCCTGGCTAATTTTTTGTATTTTTAGTAGAGGTGGGGTTTCACCGTGTTAGCCAGCATGGTCTCAATCCCCTGACCTCGTGATCCGCTCACTTCAGACTCCTAAAGTGCTGGGATTACAGGCGTGAGCCACAGCCCCCGGCCCAAAAGCAGTATTTTCGTACAAACAATATACTAACGCTAACTGAAATAATTAACAAATTACAGATTAAAAAAAAATTTTTTTTTCTTTTTTTGAGACAGGGTCACTCTGTCGCCCAGGCTGGAGTGCAGTGGCACCATCTCGGCTCACTGCAACCTCTGTCTTGCCCAGGCTCAAGTGATTCTCCTGCTTCAGCCTCCCGAGTAGCTGAGATTACAGGCGTGCACCAGCACGCCCACCCGGCTAATTTTTTTTTTCTTTTTTTTTTTTGTAATTTCAGTAGAGACGAGGTTTCACCGTGTTGGCCAGGATGGTCTCGAACTCCTGCCTGGGGTGCTGGGATTACAGCCGTGAGCCACTGTGCCCAGTCAAAATATTTTTTATTTACCTCCAACCCCACCACCTAGAGATGACCACTGCTCATTTTTGTTGATGGTATTTGGCAACAGGCTTGTCTGCTTTCTAAGCACTGTTGTTTTGTTTAGAGACAGGGTCTCCGCTCTGTGGCCCAGGCTAGAGCGCAGCGGTGCAATCACGGCTCACTGTAGCCTCCACCTCCCAAGCTCAAGCGATCCTCCCGCCTCGGCCTCCCAAGTGGCTGGGACCACAGGCGCGGGCCCCCTCCAGCCAAGCATTGTTTTTCTGACCCGCAGGATGGGAGCAGGGAGAGCGTGGCTGGCCGGGGGTCCACCGGGAGGCCCTGCGAAGGGCAGGCCCCGGCCAGGCGGGGCGCGGCTCCACGTCTCAGCCGGCGCTTCTGCGCACGGGCTCACTACTGGGGGCGGCCGGGATCACGGACTCGCTGGCCTCGTCTCCGGAGCGGAGGCGGGCAGCTTGAAGGAGCGACCCCGTGGGCCGGCGCATCCCTCCCCAGGCCCCGAGACCCGGCGGGAGACGGACCCTCCCCATGCCTCGCCGCGGAGGCCCGCGCCGAGCCAGGAGCCGCGCATCCATTGGCCGAGAGCGCGGCCGCCCGGGCCAATCACAGGGCGGCCCCGGCGCCCCCGGGCGCGCCGTGGGGACAGAGTCAGGCGCGTGCGCACTCGGCCCTCCCCGGCGGCCTCCAGGCGGGACGCGGCGTCGGCGCCTGAAGTTGGGGCTCCGTCCTGCCTCCCTGCGGGCCGGGAAAAGGGTCTCGCACGTGCGCCCCCCGCGGTCCGCGATCCCCAGCCGTCGGCCTAGCCCCAGGCGGGTCGATCCCGCTGTCCCCAGCCCCGGACCAGCCTCCTCCAGCTGCCGGGTGGAGAGGCTGGGGGGCTTTTCCCGAGGTCGGCGGCGAGGCTGAGAGCCCCGGCCCCGCCGCGCCCGAGGAGACAGCCCTTCGCGGGCTCTAAAGGCCCCGGGGCCTCCGGGATGTTCCGGGGCCGAGTTGTGCCTGTTGCCGTTTCCGGCGCCCGGGGCCTCCGGGATGTTCCGGGGCCGAGTTGTGCCTGTTGCCGTTTCCGGCGCCGCTGCCCTCGGGCACCGTCCCCTCTGGCCCTGCCTTGGTCTGGGAGGGGTCGCTAAGGGGGCGGAGGGCGCTCCTAGGGGGCCCTGCGGATCTCCTGGCCTCGGCCCCCCCGGGTGGCCAGAGCGGGGCTCTGCACAAAGGCCTCAGGTAGCCGCGGCCTCGGTTCCGAGAAAGCCCCTCGCACTGACCGGGCCTCAGCTGACCCGGGCAGCCTACTGACCCGACCCTGACGCCCGGGCCCTCCAGGCCTGTCAGAGCCTCCAGGAAAGGAAATGGGCTGCGGGGCGCAGCGAGGCTGGACAGCGGGCGCTGGCCCAGGACTCCCCTTGCCCAGAGGAGAAAATGGAGGCTGAGCCTCCGGAGAGCCCAGCTCGATGCCAGGAGCACTTTGCAGAGGGACACGGATGGGGGCTGGCAGCACTTCACCCCTGTGCGGTAACGGAGTAACCGGAGCGCACTGAAGTCAGCAGCACCCCCACCCACCCACCAAGGCCACCGCCACCTCCCACCATCCCGACCGTCCTTTGCTCCCTCAACCC
Source organism: Homo sapiens (assembly GCF_000001405.40). Lineage (NCBI taxonomy): Eukaryota > Metazoa > Chordata > Mammalia > Primates > Hominidae > Homo > Homo sapiens. The sequence continues at coordinate 145,233 of NW_025791805.1, forward strand.
TTGTTGCTGTGGGGCTTGGGGATATGTTGGATTCTCACTGGCCCGGAACTTTGCTCCCCGAGGGCCGCCTGGCTGTAGAGCAGAACCCCCAAGTCCTGGAGAGAAGGGCAGAGGCCGGCCGACCAGGAGCTCTGCAGAGGAGCAAACTCTGGCCTGCGGACCCAGGGCTCTCACCGGCATGTAAACCTCTGTGGTTCACGAGGCTTGGCGCACCATGCTCTCTGCAAACTGGGCCTCATACCACCTGTCTGCCCTGCACCTGGAGAACTGACAGCCTACCCGCCCAGCACTGGCAGCAGAAGCTAAAGCATTCCTGGAACCCACAGGCCCCCAGCTAGCCTGACCCCCTGCCCCAGCCCCCCACGGCCCTGGCCTGGCCTCCCTGCAGCTCCCGGAATGCACCCAGGCTGTGCTGGCCCCAGGGCCTCTGCGTGCCCATCCCTCTGAGGGCTGCTCTTCTTCTTGCTCTAGGCGCCTCCATCTTCTCCCACAAATCTTTGCTCACGTGTCTTCTCAGACAGCCCCCACACCCCTGTCTAAATGTTCAGTCCCCCTCCCCCGCTCCTCGGCCCCCTCAAGCCCAATTCTTGCTTGGGTTCTGGTAGCTGGTGCCCCCTTCCCTGCTGCTGCGGACCTGAGCTCTTTCTGCCCCTCTGTTTCCTGCTGCATCCTGCCTGGCTCCCAGGAGGCCTCTCTCAGCATTTTCTGACAACAAAGCCGGGGCTGCAGATCCCTGGTGAGATTCCAGGCTAGCATCAGCACTCCTCTCCCGCACGCACCACAGCTAAAGCACACAAGGGCACCGCTGAACGCCACCACTCCCAGCTGCCAGAGTGCCGCATCCGTCGGCAAGGAAAATGGGGACCCTTCCATAGAAAACAGGCAAAGACTGAACAGACATTCACAATGGCCCCAAACAAATGGAAAGAAGCTCACGCCCTCCAAAAACCAAAGAAATGCAAATTCACACAGCCAGGAAATGTCATTTCTCACCTTCCAAACTGGCAAACGTGGACCAGGGTGGTCCTGGGTGTTGGTGGGGATGCTGGCAAGGTGCTCTCAGGGAGGGAGGGCACAGCCCTGGGGGGCCATCTGAGCCTGTGGGGCACCTGTTCATGCTAAGGAATCAGGAGCCACGGCCCCCTGGGGACCCCATTAGCCTCGCTGTGGCCAGGCCAGGAGAAGCCCCTCAGTGTGAGGACACAGGAGCACTCAGCCCCAGGCAGACCCACAACCTGTTCCAGGGCCAGGACTGTTCCTTCCTGCCCCTAGCTCCTTCCCTGTCTCTCTGTCCCAGTGCAGTTAATACTGGATGTTTCTGAGTCACCAGCTGGAGGGAGTGTGGCCCTTCAGCCTGGTCAGGGGCCCCCCAGTTGGGGTGGGTGGCTTGGCTCATGACCTCGGTGGAGGGGCCCCTGGGCACCCTGCTGGTGGCAGGAGGAAGCCAGAGTGGCCCCAGAAACACTCCTTGAAGAGCCAATAAATCACAAGCCCCCTCTGCCTACCCCCTCCACATCGCCGCCTGACGTTTTTTATATTGATGCATTAATTTATCCTTAAAAATAGGCAACACTGCTTGTTTGATTTCCACAGAGGCCATGTGGGGCAGAGAGTGACAAATTATTTCCTGACCCTCGAGTAGCTGATGTAATGAGTCCCCCACACTGAAAGCCTGTGTGTCCCCGGCTCCCAGACACTCCTCAGTTTGGCTTGGGGCCACTCCCTGGTACTGGGATGTCACTAGTGCTGTCCTTGACAGGTGACCCATTTGCCTGAAGCCCGGGATGCCCATCTGTCTGGGACCTGTTTCAGGACCGCATGACCTTGCCCCCTGGGTCTCTCTTCCATGCCTTAGAGGGGGCTGGGGGCCAGGTGGGGGTGGGGGCACTGGCCCTTCCTGGGGCCTGACGAGGCTGTGACCTCGGCTCATGGGGACAGTTTGGATGCTGCTCATTCGTTTGCCTACATCGCCAGGACAGGCAGGATCTGGGAGCATCACAAAAAAGGGAGTTATTCGCAGCAAATATGAGTGTGTTCAAAAAGAAATCTGAAGTCAGTTTCCACGAGAATTCTGTCTACTCCGGACAGGCAGAGGCCACCTGAGCTCGGGACCTCCCAAGAAGGGATTCAGAGGAGCCACATTCCACTTTCTAGGTGTGACCCTCAGTCTGCTCCAAGTGGACTTGAGACATCCCAATAACAACACTGACTAGGTACTAAAACAAACACAGACAGGAGCACGTGTGCACCCCGAACACACAGCAGGGCAGCAGCCATCCAGGGTGGGCAGCCTCCCAGATGGCCCCACAGGCCTGTACCCCTGCCCTCCTGTTGGCCACGCCCCACCAAGGGAGGGTCTGTGTAATCAGTAGAGCAGGGCAGAGGCGCCAGCAGGCCAGTTTAGAGGGACACAGCACACAGCAGCTTCCGTCCTGGTTCTCTGTCTCTCTGTGTCTCTCTCCCTCTTTCTCTCTCTCTCTCTGCCTCTCTCCCTCTCTCTCTGCCTCTCTCCCTCTCTCCCTGCCTCTCTCCCTCTCTCTCTCCCTCTCTCCCTCTCCCCCTCCCTCTCTCCCTCCCTCCCTCTCCCCCTCCCTCTCTCTCCCTCTCTCCCTCTCTCTCCCTCTCTCCTTCCCTGCCTCTCTCCCTCCCTCCCTCTCTCCCTCTTTCCCCCTCTCCCTCTCTCCACCTCCACTCTCTCCCTCTCTCCCTCTTTCTGTTCCCCTCTCCCTCTCACTCCCTCTTCCCCCCCTCCCCCTCCCTCTCTCACCCCCTCCTCCTCTCCCTCTCTCTCTTTCTGTCTCCCCCCTCCCTCTCCCCCTCCCCCCTTCCCTCTCTCCCTCCCTCTCTCGTCTCCCTTCCTCTACATGGGGAGGAGCTCACTCCCTGCCAACAGCCAGGGGAACAAGCTTGGAAGTGGATTTTCCAGCCCAGCACGCAGCCTCGTGGAAGACCACCCAGGTGAGTTGCTTCCAGCGCCTCAGCTGCTGTGAGAGATGATAGATGCTTGCTGTAAGCCCCTGTGTTTTGGAGTAATTTGTTACACAGCTGTAGAGGGCCAACGCACTGCTAAAGCAGCAGCAGGAGCAGGTGTAGCCAGGCACCTAAGAGGAGCTGCTTATAAATGCCAGGGGGTGGCTCAGCCTGTAATCCCAGCGCTTTGGGGCCGAGGATGGAGCCGACCTGGACAACATAGTGAAACCCCGTCTCTACAGAAAATTAAAAAAATAAAACATTAGCCAGGCATGGATCCGATGCTTCCGTAAGGACTTTGAATCTCCAGGCAGGGACAGAGAAGACATCAGAGACTCAGGATCAACAGCAGCTGCACTGAGAGCTGAGGTCCTCGCGCTGGGTTGCTCCCCCTCCCCCACTGAGCCACTCTGAGTGCGGGCGACGCTTCCCTGGGTTCCTTCTCGCCTTCTGAGAAGGCTTCTGTCGACCTGTGGCTTCAGTGGGACCTGAGCTCATCCCCGAGACCGCCTTTTTTCACTTCGTTACCGAGGGTTGAGCGTCTGTTACTGAGGGTGGTGCGCGCCTGTAGTCTCAGCTATTCCAGAGGCTTGATGCAGGAGGATCACTTGGACGGTGGAGTTCCAGGCTGCAGTGAGCTATGATCACACCACTGCACTCCAGCCTGGGCAACAGAGTAAGACCCTGTCTCAAAAAAAAAGAAAAAAGAAAACAAAAGCGGGGAGGGGCCAGGCGCGGTGGTTCACACCTGTAATCCCAACACTTTGGGAGGCCTAGGGGGGCGAATCACGAGGTCAAGAGATTGAGACCATCCTGGTCAACATGGTGAAACCCCCTCTACTAAAAATACAAAAAATTAGCCAGGCTTGAAGAGAATCACTTGAAGTCGGGAGGCGGAGGTTGCAGTAAGCTGAGATTGCCCCACTGCACTCCAGCCTGGGGACAGAGAGAGACAGTCAAAAAAAAAAAAAAAAAAAAAAAAGTAAAACACAGGGGAGAGGAGACCTCAGAGTTGCGTGGCTTTCCTTTTCTGACCCAGGACAGCAGGGGAAGCCCCGCATTTGTGGCCAGAGCCCTGGGATAGATGGAGCCCAAACACCCTCCTCTGCATGTCTCCATTCCCTGGGGGCTGCAGGCCCGAGCTGTCTGGTCCTCCCTTCATCCATTGCACCTGGTGTTCCTTCTGCCCAGAAAATTGTTGGTCCTCCCATGTATCAGAAGCCACATGCTCACCTTCCAGGGCACTTCTGCCCACACAAGCATTTCCTCCAACATGGAAGGAGGGCCATCCCCTGCAGCAGGCAGTACTCCAGGCTTCAGGGAGCTGCCCTTCACCAGAGGGGCTGTCTGCAGACCCACGCACACGCCTGGCATATACCACGGCACTTAGTAAATGTTTGCTGACTCAGGGCATGCAGGCCAACTCTCTGGTCTCTGTTATGAACCAGAAAGTGGGGGCTGTGGTGGTAACAGGACTTATTTACACAGGTTAACAACCTGCCAATGAGGTAGGAACCTTCCACCACACTGATTAAGAAACTGAGGCACAAGGAGGTTGTATAACTCGACTCAGATTGCACAACTATTAAGTGGCAGAGCCAGGACACAATCCAGGTAGGCTGGCTCTGCATCTACACTCAACCACTGCACTTGCTGTTTTCCTGGAACAAAACCACCTGCTTGTCGGGTGCCTCCCTCCATCAGCGCCTGGACCAGGACATCAGCCATGTGCATGGTGGGCCTGGAGCTGCCCCACGCCCGCCAGCCAACCAGGTCAGTGCGGCCTCCCCTCCATCATGATTGGTTCAGGCAATCCAGGCCTCAGCCAATCAGAACAAAGCTCTGGTCCAGCTCGCCTGGAGCGCCTGACTTCTGCACTTTCCCAGCATGGCGGCCTGGAGATGTCTCACTCACTGTTGCCCAGGCTGGAGTGCAGTGGGGCAATCTCAGCTCACTGCAATCTCTGCGTCCCGGGTTCAAGCGGTTATCCTGCTTCAGCCTCCCAAGTAGCTGGGATTACAGTAGGTGGCTCACGCCTGTAATCCCAACGCTTTGGGAGGCCTAGGCGGGCGGATCACGAGGTCAGGAGTTCGAGACCAGCCTGGTCAATATGGTGAAACCCCGTCTCTACTAAAAATACAAAACTTAGCCGGGCGTGGTGGCGTGTGCCTGTAATCCCAGCTACTTGGGAGGCTGAGGCAGGAGAATCACCTGAACCCGGGAGGCAGAGGTTGCAGTGAGCCGAGATCGTGCCACTGCACTCCAGCCTGGGTGACAGAGCGAGACTCCGTCTCAAAAAATATATATATAAATAAAGGAGAAGTGAGAACCTCTGTTTGCCATAGAGCTTCGTGCAAATACACGCATTGATCCGCAGAGGCAGGCCCACGGGGTATCCAGGTAAGAACGTGGTGCTAGTGAGGAAAAAATTCAGATGCAAGCAGCAGAATACCCAACTGCAGGCGGTTCAATGTGTGGAGGCTTTTCTTCTTTTTCATGTAACTAGAAATCTGGAGGTGGGAGTTATCCCCATCGCGACCCAGACTCTTTCAGTCTTTCTGCTCCAACATCCTTGGCAGGTGGGCTTTTGTATGTTGTTTGTAGGGCAGCTGCTGGAATTCCATATACCACACACACCTCTACAGTCAAGGCACAAAGAAAGGATGGAGAGACAGGGCCAGTCACATCTGTGCCCTTTTAGAGGGAAAGACAAACCTGCCCTAGAAGCCCCTGCAGTGGATTCCCCCCAGGCCTCAACGGCCACCCATGATCGGGCATGCTATGAGGGATTCAGAGACGGCAGAGAGCCAGGTTGTCATGACAGCAATGGCCAAGCATGCTTCATTGCCAGGGTCTTGGTAGCCCTCCAAAAAGCAAAGTTCCATAGGCAGGAAAGAAGGGGAACAGATTTTGGTGGGCGGCAGGTCTGCCTGCCACAGGTGGGAAGACAAGACATGGGGAGGTTCACAGATTACGCAGGGGAGTGGGGATCAGATGAAGGGCTGCCTGGCCGGGTACAAAACCTGAGATCCTGCTGCACAGCTGGATGAGGGAAGAGCCCTGCTGCTGCTGCTGCTGCTCCAGCCCCCTCAGCAACAGCATGGATGTCACAGATGCTAGCCACCAGATGTCCACTAGCCTCACTGCCAGAACCGGTTCTATGCTGCTCCTGCTTATGGTGTGAAGACACCACAGGCTTCCAACTGAAGGTTGGAGGTGGATGCACCTGACTGGTGGAGCCTGGGCCATGTGACTGAGTCCTGACAGCAAGGGATGCTGGGAAAGTTAGTATCTACCGTTTTTCAATTTATACAGAAAGATGAGTCCTGCTTTGCAAACTGGAGATTAACTTTAGGTGAGAAGGAGATTCTTTATACATGCAGGGAGCATAAGCTGGCACAACTTTTTGGAAAGTAATGTGGCAATACATATGAGCAGCCTAAAAAAGGCTATAGCCTGTCACCCAGTAATTTCATTTTAGATAATCTCTCTTAAAATCGTAGTAGGGGCTGCCAGGCAAGGTGGCTCACTCCTGTAATCCCAGCACATTGGGAGCCTGAGGCAGGCCGATCACCTGAGGTTGGGAGTTCGAGACCAGCCTAGCCACCATGGAGAAACCCTGTCTCTACTAAAAAATACAAAATTAGCCAGGCATGGTGGCACATGCTGGTAATCCCAGCTACTCGGGAGGCTGAGGCAGGAGAATCGCTTGAACCTGGGAGGCGGAGGTTGCAGTGAGCCGAGATGGCACCATTGCACTGCAGCCTGGGGAAAAAGAGCGAAACTCCATCTCAAAAAAAAAAAAAAAAAAAAAAAGATGGTGGTAGGGGCTAGGCGTGGTGGACGCCTGTAATCCCAGCATTTTGGGAGGCCGAGGCCAGCGGATCACTTGAACCCAGGTGTTCAAGACCAGCCTGGGCAACAGGGTGAAACCCCGTTTCTACAAAAAGTGTAAAAATTAGCCAGGCAGTGTGGATCATGCCTGCAGTCCCAGCTACTTGGGAGGCTGAGGTGGGAGGATGGCTTCAACCCTGGAGGCCAAAGCTGCAGTGAGCTATGATTGCACCACTGCACTCCAGCCTGGGCAACACACTGAGACCCCCATCTCTTAAAAAAAAAAAAAAAAGGTAGTGGCTGGAGTGGTGGGAACCCTTTAACACTCATGTCATCATGACAGAGTTGATTATAACCCAATCATGTGGCAGCAACTGACTTGTCCAATGAGGAGAGTAAGTGAATCTCAGTCCAGCCATCCTACAATGAATATTTAATAACCCGGGGAAAAAACTTAAGTTCTAATGGCAAATGGAAAGATTAGGATATACCTGTAGTTGTCTTGGCAAAGTCTTACAAGGTATTATTTATTGAAAGCAACAAGCCAGTTGTGCAAACCTGCCTCATTTGAAATTACTTGGCAGGAATGTTTGGAAAATTCCTCCTATTTAAAAAAACTTCCCCTTGAAAATTAGGAAAAGCCTTAAAATGAAAATACCTGGGAGAAACCTAAAGATGGTTGGCTGAGAGCTTTGAAAATGTGGACATTCCCAGACAAGTTCATAATGATGCCATAAATAAGAATGCTTGCAGCCCGGCTCAATGGTTTATGCCTGTAATCCCAGCACTTTGGAAGACTGATGTGGGAGGACTGCTTGAGACCAAGAGTTCGAGGCCAGCCTGGGCAATATGGTGAGACCCCATCTCTACAAAAAAATTAAAAATTCACCGAGCATGGTGGCTCACACCTTTAGCCCCAGCTACATGGGGAGGCTTGAGCCCAGGAGGTCAAGGCTGCAGTAAGCTATGATCATGCCACTGCACTACAGACTGGGTGACAGAGTGAGACCCTATCTCAAAAAGAAAAAAAAAAATGGAGGCCGGGCATAGTGGCTCATGCCTGTAATCCCAGCACTTTGGAAGGCCAAGGTGGGCAAATCACTTGAGATCAAGAGTTGGAGACCAGCCTGGCCAAAATGGTGAAACCCCATTTCTGCTAAAAATACAATAAAAATTAGCCAGTTGTGGTGCCACATGCCTGTAATCCCAGATACTCAGGAGGCTGAGGCAGGAGAATCGCTTGAAGCTGGGAGGCAGCTATGTCAGTGAGCCAAGATCGTGACACTGCACTCCAGCCTGGGCAACAGAGTGAGACTCCATCTCAAAAAAAAGAAAAGAAAAAAAAATGAACCATGGACATAAATGTAAAATGCAAAATTATAAAAGTTCTAGAACAAAACATAGGAGAAAATCTACATGACCTTAAATTAGGTCATGAGTTTTTTTGTTTGTTTTTTGTTTTTGTTTTTTTTTTGAGATGGAGTCTCAATCTGTGTCCCAGGCTGGAGTGCAATGGCATGATCTCAGCTCACTGAAACCACCGCCTCCTGGGTTCAAGCAATTCTCCTGCCTCAGCCTCCCAAGTAGCTAGTATCACAGGCGCTCATCACCATACTCGGCTAATTTTTGTATTTTTAGTGGAGACGGGGTTTCACCGTGTTGGCCAGGCTGGTCTTGAACTCCTGACCTCAAGTGATCTACCCATCTCGGCCTCCCAAAGTGCTGGGATTACAGGCATGAGCCACTGCACCTGACCAGGTCGTGAGTTTTTACATACAGCACCAAAATCATTATCTATTAAAGAAAAAACTGAATTGATATTATTAAAATTTAAAACTTGGGCTGGGCACAGTGGCTCACATCTGTATTCCCAGCACTTTGGGAGGCCGAGGCGGGTGGATCGCTTGAGGTCAAGAGTTTGAGACCAGCCTGGCCAATATGGTGAAACCCAATCTCTAATTTTAAAAAACACAAAAAGTAGCCGGGCGTGATGGTGCACACCTGTAGTCCCAGCTACTTGGGAGGTTGAGGCAGGAGAATTGCTTGAACCCAGGAGGCGGAGGTTGCAGTGAGCCGAGATCATGCCACTTGCACTCCAGCCTGGCTGACAAGTGAAACTCCATCTCAAAAAAAAAAAAAAAAAAGAGCACGGAAATTCAAATTCCAACACACTCTGCACCACAGGTCCGCCTTGAGGACTGTGCGTTAAGTGAAATAGGCCAGTCACAAAAGACAAATCCTGTACAGTTCCACATGTAGGAGGGACCTAGAGCAGCTAAATTCATACAGACAGAAAGTGAAATGGTGGCTGCCGGGGGCTGGGTGGAGGAGAAGGAGTTGTTTGATGGGTACAGCTTTTTGGTTTTGCAAGATGAAAGTTCTGGAGATTTTGGCTGAACAACAGTGCAGATGCTCAGTGCCCAACTGTATGCTCAAAAGTGGATGGCTGGGAGCGGGGGCTCACTCCTGCAGTCCCAGCACTTTGGGAGGCGGAAGTGGGCAGATCAGCTGAGGTCAGGAGTTCGAGACCAGCCTGGCCAACATAGTGAAACACTGTCTCTACTAAAAGTACAAAATTAGCCGGGCGTGGTGGTGTGTGCCTGTAATCCCAGCTACTTGGGAGGCTGAGGCAGGAGAATCGCTTGAACCCGAGAGGTGGAGGTTGCGGTTAGCCGAGATCATGCCACTGCACCCCAGCCTGGGCGACAGAGCGAGATTCCGTCAAAAAAAAAAAAAAAAAAAAAGAACCGGGTATGGTGGCATGTGCCTGTAGTTCCAGCTATTCAGGAGGCTGAGGTGGGAGGATCACTTGAGCTTGGGAGGTTGAGGCTGCAGTGAGCTGTGATCTTGCCACTGCACTCCAGGCTGGGCGACAGAGCAAGATCCTGTCTCAAAATTTGAAACAACTTCAAAGAAGGAAAGGAAGCTATGCCTGTTGCATACAAGCAGAATCTTCCTCGCGGCTCGGCCTGCTCCAGCCTCCCGGAGGATGAGCCTCTGACCAGGGCCGGCCCAGGTGCCACAGTCACAGCCAGTGGCCCGCAGTTCTGAGGCCCCTGGCACCGCTGAGGCGTCCCTGGAGCTTCCTCACCAGCCTCACGCATCCTGCCGGGGTGGCGGGGTCAGGGCCCACCTCTGGGCACGGGAGGCGTGGGCCTCACGGGCCACGGATGGGAGCCCAGGGCAGGGGGCTGGAGCCCTCGGGGGTCAGAGCCCGTGCGCCTTCCAGGGCGGAGGCGGTCAGCCGATGGACCAGGCGGTGCCGCAGCGACAGAGGGGGTTGAGATCGGGGCTTTCCCCTGCGACCAGCTCGCAGCCTGACGTCGGCCTCGCTCTGGGGAAACCAAGGCACGGGCACGCGCGGGCGTGGCGCCAACGTCCTCGCTGCCGGCCCCGCCTCGCCCGGGACAGCGCCCCGGCCCTGCTCCCCGCTCTACGGCCCCGCGCCCCGGCCATCTGCGGCTCCTCTTGCTTCGCGCCCGCGCCGCGCTCTGCCCACGCCCAGCCCCGCAGCTTCTCTGTGACCCCCGCCTGCCGCACCCCGGCTAGGGGCTTATTAGCGCCACGGAGCTGAGCTGGACGTGTCCAGGATCTGGGGAGGGAGCAGCCCAGAGAGGGCAGGGCCTGGCCAGGCCTCCCCAGGCAGCCCTGCGGTCCTGCAGCCACGAGGGGAGGGGACGCCACAAATCCGGGTGCCGACCCGGGCCAGGAGAGTCGGGAAATGGGCCTTGGCTGGGACCCAGGCCGACTCTGATCCCGCGGGCCTCGTAGCCCCTCCAGCCCTCGGCCATGCAAAGTGGGGGTCCCACGGGATGAGCCCCAGTGTGGGAGCCCAGCTCGGACAGACATCACCCCTCAGTCCCCCGACCCTCCGCCCCAGGAGAGAAGCTGGACGCTTGCCTGGGCGACCAGGTCCAGGCCACCCTAGGCAGTGAGGAGCAGCAGGGGGCCATGGCGAGAGGACAGGGAGGGCCTCTGTTGGGCCTCGGAGGTGGAGACCCCACTGCTGAGCCACAGCTGGGGCATGCATTGGCTTTCTTCTGAGCATCTGTCTGGGGAACCGCCGTGGGAGGAGCAGAGCCCCTCGGGCACTGGTAGGGAAGCCAGGCTGCCAACAGCCCTGCCACCCTGGCTGCAGGTTCTGGAGCCGGGGACCCTCTAGGCTGAAGTTCTCCAAGTGGGTTGAGCCCAGGTATCCGTTTATCCTAGGTAGGCCTCCATGCCTGAAGGTCCCGGGCTCCTCTGGACCACCCGTCCTGCCAGGGGGCAGACAGGCCTCCTGTCCCTTCCTGTTCTGTTCTGCTCCCTAAACTCCAAGCTAAGTGTGTCCCTGGGCAGCTGGGTCTTAAGAGCCTGAAAGGCTGCATGGAGTCTGTTTGTTCGTTCAGAGGAATCTCAGCTATTTCCTGGGAGGCTCCATCTGAGCCTGGTAGGTCCCGGATGAGGGGTGGGTGGCCCGGTGAGCAGGTCAGCCTGTCCTCAGGGGCTTGCAGCACACCCGCCAGGGTGGCAATTATCCAAAATATAGAAAACAAGTGCCACTGAGGATGTGAAGCAACTGGAACTCTTGTCCACTGCCGATGGGAATGCAAGATGAGGCAGCTGCTGTGGAGAACTGTTGGTTCCTCAGAAAGGTGCACAGAATGACCCTATGACCAGCAGTCCACGCCGGCCACAGACCCCAGAGAACTGCAGGCAGGCCCTGGAACACATACTTCACAAGCAGAATGTAGTATAGACATATACTGCAGTATTTCTCAGCTTTAAAAAGGAAGGGCCAGGCACGGTGGCTCACGCCTGTAATCCCAACCCAGAGGGTGAGGCAGGTGGATCACTTGAGGTCAGGAGTTGGAGACCAGCCTGGCCAACATGGTGAAACCCCGGCTCTTCTAAAAATACAAAAATTATCCAGATGTGGTGGTGGGCACCTGTAGTCCCAGCTACTCAGGAGGCTGAGGCAGGAGAATCACTTGAATCCGGGAGGCGGAGGTAGCAGTGAGCCGAGATCGTGCCACTGCACTCCAGCCTTGGCAACAGAGTGACACTCCATCTCAAAAAAAAAAAAAAAAAAAAAAAAAAGAGAGACAGAGGTTGCAGTGAGCCTGAGATCACGCCACTGCACTCCAGCCTGGATGATGGAGAATCTGTCTCAAAAAAAAAAAAAAGGAAGGAAGGTGTGGTGGCTCACATCTGTAATCCCAACACCAACACTTTGGAAGGCAGAGGCAGAAGGACTGGTTGAGCCCAAGAGTTGGAGACCAGCCTGGGCAACATGGCAAGACCCCATCTCTATAAAATAAATAAATAAATAAAATTGGCCGGGCGCAGTGGCTCATGCCTGTAGTCTCAGCACTTTGGGAGTCCAAGGCAGGCAGATTGCTTGAGTTCAGGAGCTCGAGACCAGCCTGAGTGATACGGTGAAACCTCGTCTTTCCTAAAAATACCAAAAAATTAGCCGGGCTTGGTGGCATGCACCTGTATTCCCAGCTACTCAGGAGGCCGAGGTGGGAAGATCACCTGAGCCCAGCCAGTGACTGAGCTTGCACCACTGCACTTCAGCATGGGCAACAAAGTGAGACCCTGTCTCTAAAAAATAAATAAATAAAAGTAAATAAATTAAATTAGCCAGGCGTGGTGGCACACGCCTGTGGTCCCAGCTACTCCAGAGGCTGAGATGGGCAGATTGCTGGAGTCAGGGAGGTTGAGGCTGTGGTCAACTGTGATTATGCCAGTTCACTATGGCTTATGTTACACTGCAAGACCCTGTCCAAAAAAAGAAAAAAAAAAAAAAGGAAGAAAATTGTTGTTTAATAGATATAGAGTTTCAGTCGGCATGGTGGCTCACGCCTGTAATTCCAGTACTTTGGGAGGCCGAGGTGGGAGGATTGCCTGAGGTCAGGAGTTTGAGACCAGCCTGGCCAACATGGTGAAACCCTGTCTCTACTAAAAATACAAAAAGTAGCCAGATGTGTTGGTGCATGCCTGTAGTCCCAGCTACTTGGGAGGCTGAGGCAGGAGAATCCCTTGAACCCGGGAGGCGGAGGTTGCAGTGAGCCGAGATCGTGCCACTGCACTGCAGCCTAGTGACAGAGCAAGACTCCGTCTCAAAAAAATAAAAGAAAATAGTTGTAGAGTTTCAGTTTGGGAAGATGAAAGAATTCTGAACATGTGGTAATAGAGGCACAGCTTTGTGACGTAATGACTGTACACTTCAACACCATTAAAATGATCAATTTTGTGTTATGCATGTTTTACCATAATCTAAAACAAATTTTTTGGGGGGCTGGGCGTGGTGGCTCACACCTGTAATCCTAGCACTTTGGGAGGCCAAGGAGGGTGGATCAACTGAGGTCACGAGTTCAAGACCAGCCTGGCCAACATGGTGAAACCCCATCTCTACTAAAAATATAAAAATTATCTGGGTGTGGTGGTGGATGCCTGTAATCCCAGCCACTTGGGAGGCTGAGGCAGGAGAATCGCTTGAACCCAGGAGGCAGAGGTTGCAGTGAGCTGAGACTGCACTATTGCATTCCAGCCTGGGCAACAGAGCAAAAACTCTGTCTCAAAAAAAAAAAAAAAAAAAAAAGAAAGAAATTTTTTTTTAATCCTGCATATCGGGGAGGGAGATGGACGAGTAACAGAGGGTGGAAGTGGAGGAAGGCGTGCTTCCCGGGAGAGGACTGGGCTGTGTGGGGATGCTGTGGACGGCTGCACAGGTGGTGCACTGCACAACTGCAGGGGATGCCATTCACATAGACCATGATGCTGCATCATGTGTGAAGTATGCACCACGGCAGTCCTCTCTGGAGGGCACCCTGAGAAGGGCCGCCAGCAGGGAGCTGGACAGCACGGGGACACATCCTTTCCAGCAGGAAAGGATTCCAAACGACCACCAGCAGGCGGGCAGGCCAAGCATAGCTGAAGGGAGCCATGGGAGGCCACGAGGTGCTCTGTGTACAGCAGGCAGCCCCAGCACTTGGCCCACGTGCTGCACAGAGGAAAACACCTGCCCACAGCTGTCTCTGGCTCTGATGTTTAGGACCCACCTCCAACCAAGCAAGGGTCCTGTAAGTCAGAAAATCTCTCAGTCATCGGAGCCAGGATTTGCCAACGTGAACCACTGAACTTCCCCCTTGGTCTCCATCCTCTATGAAAACATGAAAGGGGTTTGAAATTGCATCCAATAAACACAATGTCCATCTCCTGCCGGGGAAAATTGGTCTGGGTAGAGGGATGCCGGTGGTGTGGACAGGCTCTGAAAGCTGCAGGAAGGCTCGGCTTGGAGAACATCCTCCACCTCTGCCTACCATCAGGACCCAGGGATCCTGGGGAAGGGGAGCCCTTTCAGGAGTGCCCTGAAGTCCCCCAGCACGTGTGACACTTCTCAGAGCAGGCATCCCTTCCAGAAGTTTCTGTTAACTAAGCTGAATGGCATTTAAGATATTGAAAACAGGCTGGGCGCGGTGGCTTACACCTGTAATCCCAGCACTTTGGGAGGCCGAGGCGGGCGGATCACGAGGTCAGGAGATCGAGACCATCCTGGCTAACACTGTGAAACCCCGTCTCTAGTAAAAATACAAAAAATTAGCCAGGCGTGGTGGCGGGCGCCTGTGGTCCCAGCTACTCGGGAGGCTGAGGCAGGAGAATGGTGTGAACCCAGGAGGCGGAACTTGTAGTGAGCCGAGATCGCGCCCCTGCACCCCAGCCTGGGCGACAGAGCGAGACTCCATCTCAAAAAGAAAAAAAAGGAAGGATAGAATTAGAAAACCATTAACCAGGCGTGCTGGTCCTAGCTACTAGGGAGACTGAGGTGGGAGGATTGCTTGAGCCCCTGAGGTCAAGGCTACAGTGAGCCTCTATTGCCACTGCACTCCAGCCAGGGTGACAGAGCAAGACCCTGGAAAGAAGAAAAGAAAGAAAGAAAGGAAAGAGGAAAGGAAGAAGGAAAGCAAGCAAGAAAGAAAGCAAGCAAGAAAGAAAGAGGAGAAAGAAAAGAAAGAGAGAAAAAAGGAAAGAAAGAAAAAAGAAAAAGAAAGAAGGGAGGGAGGGAGGGAAAGAAAGAAGGGAAGGAAGGAAGGAAGGGAGAAGAAAGGGAGGGAGAAAGGGAAAGAAAAGAAGAAAAGAAAAGAAAAGGCCAGGTGCAGTGCCTCATGCCTGTAATCCCAGCACTTTGGAAGGCCAAGGTGGGCAGATCACCTGAGGTCAGAAGTTCAAGACCAGCCTGGCCAACCAACATGGTGAAACCCTGGCTCTACAGAAAATACAAAAATTAGTGGGGCATGGTGGTGGGCACCTATAATCCCAGCTACTTGGGAAGCTGAGGCAGGAGAATCGCTTGAACCCAGAAGGTGGAGGTTACAGTGAGCCGAGATCACACCACCGGACTCCAGTCTGGGCAACAAGAGCAAAACTCCATTAAAAAAAAGAAAGAAATAGGCCAGGCGCAGTGGCTCACGCCTGTAATCCCAGCACTCTGGGAGGCCGAGACAGGCAGATCACGAGGTCAGGAGATCAAGACCATCCTGGCTAACACGGTGAAATCCCATCTCTACTAAAAATACAAAAAAAAAATTAGCCAGGCGTGGTGGTGGGCGCCTATAGTCCCAGCTACTCAGGAGGCTGAGGCAGGAGAATTGCTGGAAACTGGAGGCGGAGGCCGCACTCCAGCGGCGAGAGAGTGAGACTCCATCAAAAAAGAAAGGGAGGGAGGGAAGGAGGGAAGGAGAGAAGGAGGGAGGGAGGGAGAGGAGGAGAGGAGAAAAGAGGGAGGGGAGGGGAGTGGAGGGGGAGAATAATTTGTAACCACTAATGAAATAGCAGGTCCTGGCAGGGATTTCCAATGGCTGCTAATATCACAACATCAGGCTCTGTGGGACTCTTTCCCTCTCCATGAAGTTGCACCCACCCTGTGGTCATCTTCTTGCTAAAAAAATCAACCTGAATGAGATTAAACAGACCAGTTTGGACATTTACACCTAGAGCTAACTGACTATAGGAAATATAAGGGTTGAGGAACGTGCCACATCAACCACAAGGACGAAATCAGCAAAATCCAGACAGGTGGAACCCTTTGGAACAAAAGACCTGCCTTCTTCCACAAATAACCTGAAAGGAGAAAAATGAAAGAGGGTAAATCCCGCGGTTAAAAGAGATTTAAGAGACATAGTGGCCAAGTGCAATGATTGGAAACCAACCGTTAAAAGAAATTTAGGTGGGTCGCGGTGGCTCACGCCTGTAATCCCAGCACTTTGGGGGGCCGAGGCGGGTGGATCACGAGGTCAGGAGATCGAGACCATCCTGGCCAACACGGTGAAACCCCGTCTCTACTAAAAATACAAAAAAAATACAAAAAAATACAAAAAAAATACCCCGTCTCTACTAAAAATACACCAGCCGGGCGTGGTGGTGGGCGCCTGTAGTCCCAGCTACTCGGGAGGCTGAGGCAGGAGAATGGCATGAACCCAGGAGGCGGAGCTTGCAGCGAGCCGAGATCACACCACTGCACTCCAGCCCGGGTGACAGAGTGAGACTCCGTCTCAAAAAAAAAAAAGAAAGAAATTTAAGGCTGGGCATGGTGGCTCACACCTGTAATCGCCACATTTTAGGAGGCTGAGGTGAGAGGATCTCTTGAGACCAGGAGCTTGAGACCAGCCTAAGCAACATAGGGAGACCCCATCTCTACAGAAAGTTTAAAAATTATCTGGGCATGGTGGTGCACGCCTGTAGTCCCAGCTACTCAAGCGGCTGAGGTGGGAGGATTGCTTGAGCCTAGGAAGTCGAGGCTGCAGTGAGCTGTGATTGTGCCACTGCACTCTAGCCTGGGCAACAAAGCAAGACCCTGTCCCCCCAAAAAAACAGACAAACAAAACAACAACAAAAAATTTAAGACAACCAAGGAAATTTGGACATTAGATGATACTAAGTATCGATCAATAATTGGTGGGTGGGGGCATGATACTGTGATTTTTTTTTTTTTTTTTTTTTTTTTGAGATAGAGTCTTGCTCTGTCACCCAGGCTGGAGTGCAGTGGCTCAATCTCGGCTCACTGCAACCTCTGCCATGTGGGTTCAAGCAATTCTCCTGCCTCAGCCTCTGGAATAGCTGGGATTACAGGCGCACGCCACCATGCCTGGCTAATTTTTGTATTTTTAGTAGAGATGGGTTTCACCATGTTGGCCAGGCTGGTCTTGAACTCCTGACCTCGTGATCCGCCCGTCTCGGCTTCCCAAAGTGGTGGGATTACAGGAATGAGCCACCGCGCCCAGCTTGTGGTTGTTTTTTCAAAAAGAGTCCTAGGCTGGGTGCAGTGGCTCATGCCTGTAATCCCAGCACTTTGGGAGGCCTAAGCAGGAGGACCATTGAGTCCAGGAGTTCAGCCTGGGCAACATAGTGAGATGCTGTCTCCAAAAAAAACACAAAAGCAAACAAACAAAAGGCCATGGAGGAGGCCAATCCCCAGCTGTGCTGAGCCAGGATCAGATTCTCTCAGCCCCTTTCAGCAGCACCTGTCCTCCTCTGAGTCAATATATTGCTGTTGCAGCCGGGCGCGGTGGCTCATGCCTGTAATCCCAGCACTTTGGGAGGCCGAGGTGGACGGATCACCTGAGGTCAGGAGTTTGAGACCAGACTGACCAACATGGAGAAACCCCATCTCTACCGAAAATACAAAATTAGCTGGGCGCGGTGGCGCATGCCTGTAATCCCAGCTACTTGGGAGGCTGAGGCAGGAGAATCGCTTGAACCCAGGAGGTGGAGGTTGTGGTGAGCTGAGATTGCGCCATTGCACTCCAATTGGGCAACAAGAGCGACACTCCATCTCAAAAAAGAAAAAAAAAAGAAAGAAAAAGAAAAAGAAATATGGAACATAAAAGTTACCATTTTAATCGTTTAAAAGTGTACAGGCCAGGCGCAGTGGCTCACACCTGTGATCCCAGCACTTTGGGAGGCCGAGGCAGGCAGATCACCTGAGGTCAGGGGATCAAGACCATTCCGGCCAACATGGTGAAACCCCGTCTCTACTAAAAATACAAAAATTAACCAGGTACACAGGCACACGCCTGTAGTCCCAGCTACTCGGGAGGCTGAGGCAGGAGAATCGCTTGAACCCAGGGGCCAGAGGTTGCAGTGAGCCGAGATCACACCACTGCACTCCAGCCTGGCAACAGAGCAAGACTCTGTCTCAAAAAAAAGTGTACAATTGGCTGGGTGCGGTGGCTCACGCCTGTAATCCCAGCACTTTAGGAGGCCAAGGAGGGTGGATCACCTGAGGTCAGGAGTTCAAGACCAGCCTGGCCAACGTATCGAAATTCTGTTTGTATTAAAAATACAAAAATCAGCTGGGTGTGGTGGCACACACCTATAATCCCAGCTACTTGAGAAGCTGAGGCAAGAGAATCGCTTGAACCCAGGAGGCAGATGCTGCAGTGAGCTGAGATTGCACCACTGCACTCCAGCCTGGATGACAGAGCCAGGATGGTCTTGTTCTCCTGACCTCGTGATCTGCCAGCCTCAGCCTCCCAAAGTGCTGGGATTACAGGTGTGAGCCACTGCTCCCAGCAGTTTTTTTTTTTGTTTTTTTTTTTTTGAGACAGGGTCTTGCTCTGTCATCCAGGCTGGAGTGCAGTGGCTCAATCACAGCTGACTGCAACCTCAATCTCCCCAGGTTCAAGTGATCCTCCCACCTCACCCTTCTGAGTAGCTGGGTTACTACAAGCGTGTGCCACCAGGACAGGCTAATTTTTTGTATCTTTTGTTGTGGGATTTTGCCATGTTGCCCAGGCTGGTTTTGGACTCCTGGGCTCAAGCGATCTGCCTGCCTAAGGCTCCCAAAGTGTTGGGATTACAGGTGTGAGCCATCATGCCCTCACTGTCACTATTTTCCTTTTTTTTTTTTTTTATTTTTTGTGGCCATCCTACTGGATGTGAAGTGATATCTCACTGTTATTTTGATTTGCACTTCCCTAATGATCCCCTGATGATGTTGAGTATCTTTTTCATCTCCCGGTTGGCCATGTGTATATCTGCTTGGGAGAAAATAAAGTCCTTTGCTCATTTTTAAATTGGGTTCTTTTTGTTGTTGATTTGTAGGCGTTCTTTACATATTGTGGATACTAGATCCTTATCAGACATAATTTTGTGGGGTTTGGGGTTTTTTTGTTTGTTTTTGAGATAGGGTCTCACTGTGTCACCCAGACTAGAGTGCAGTGGCTCAATCACAGCTCACTGCAGTCTCAAACCTCAAACTCCTATCAAGAGATCCTTTCTCCTCAGCCTCCTGAGTAGCTGGGACCACAGGCAGGCCACCACCATGCTCAGCTAATAAAAAAAAAATTGGGGCCAGGCATGCTGGCTCACACATGTAATCCCAGCACCTTGGGAGGCTGAGGCGGGCAGATCACGAGGTCAGGAGATTGAGACCATCCTGGCTAACACGGTGAAACCCCGTCTCTACTAAAAAATATGAAAAGATTAGCTAGGTGTGGTGGTGGGCACTTGTAGTACCAGCTGCTGGGGAGGCTGAGGCAGGAGAATGGCATGAACCCGGGAGGTGGAGCTTGCAGTGAGCTGAGATCACACCACTGCACTCCAGCCTAGGTGACAGAGCAAGACCCCATGTCAAAAAAAAAAAAAAAAAAATTGGCTGGGTGCGGTGGCTCACGTCTGTAATCCCAGCACTTTGGGAGGCCAAGGCAAGCAAATCACCTGCGGTTGGGAGTTCAAGATCAGCCCGAGCAACATGGAGAAACCCCGCCTCTACTAAAAATACAAAATTAGCTAGGTGTGGTGGCGCATGCCTGTAATCCCAGCTACTCGGGAGGCTGAGGCAAGACAATCGCTTGAACCCAGGAGGCGGAGGTTGTGGTGTGAGCCAAGATCACACCATTGGACTCCAGCTTGGGCAACAGAGGGAAACTGCGTTTCAAAAAAAAAAATTTGTAGAGACAAGGTCTTGCCAAGTTGCCCAGGGAACCTGCACTGGGCAGTTCCGGAAGAGCTGCAGCTTTCAACGCTTCGAGAGTGCGTGACTGTCCCTGGTCCCCATGCCCTGGCCAGTGCTCAGAACTACCCATCTCCTGATTTCTGCTCATCTGATAGCCACAAACTGGCATCTAATTTGTTTTAATGTGCATTTGCTGATGCCCAGTGTCCATGAGCATCTCACAGTTTGTCCTGTAAGTGCAATGCTTCACAGGACAAAGAGAATTTCTATCTTTTGCAGGTATCAGAGTCGCTGAGAAGAGTCATGCTGTGATGTGAGGTCACAGAACAAGGTAGGGTGGGAGCCTGGAGCTCAGTAAGCTCTCTGCAATTTATGTTTGCCTCCACCCCGACCCCCACCAAGCTTGAGCCTCCTCTCCCCCATCCCCATATGGGAGGGGGAGCTAGGAAGCACCACCACCTCTGCTTGAGTAAAATCTCTTCCAACAGCAGAACGATCCCTTGACCCGACTTAACATGAAATAGTTCCAAATCTCTTTTCAACTGGTAGAGATCTTCCTTCCCTGTCCCAACCTCCAAATGACTTCTGCAGCTGTAAGCAGTTCAGAGGAGCTATGCATTGGACTCCCAATCCCATCTACAGAGGCTCTCCCCTGGCACCTGCGGGGAGAAAAGCTGAAGTACAAAGGGCACTGGCTGAGCCTCTTACACCAGGTGAGGCCCTCGTTATTGGTAGATACTGAGTTCCAGGATTCAGTAACTAGCCAACTCCATGACTGCTGCGCTCTTTACACAAAGTAAAACTATCTCATATCACACGTCCACCTGAGGGCTGGGGGGAAACTAAGGCAGGCCCCTGCTGATTCAGGTGGTTATTTTATGCCAAATATTTACCCAAGATGTCAAGTCATCTAGTTTTTCCTAAATAATGGAAAAAGCCGTCTCAGGACTTCCCTCCCAGCCTGCTTATGATGTTGCTTCAGTTATCTCCAACACCCAAACCCACTAGGCTGCCTTGTTCTTGCACTTTCGATTTGGAAGAAATCGAACTGCTCAGTTTATTGTTAAGCCGTTTTCTCACCAGCCCACGAAGCCAAGCTGAGCAGCACCCACCGCCCCCACCCCCAAGACTACCCAATACTTCCAGGTTGGTCTGTCTTTCCCAGCCCACTTGCTACTTCCCCAAACAGGAGCCATTCATTGGTTACGGCAGCACTTTTATTTTTCCTTACACAATGACGTGTTGCTGGGGCCTAATGTTCTCACATAACAGTAGAAAACCAAAATTTGTTGTCATCTCTTCAAAGAATCGAGAATTGCGTACAAAAAAAACCTTACATAAATTAAGAATGAATACATTTACAGGCGTAAATGCAAACCGCTTCCAACTCAAAGCAAGTAACAGCCCACGGTGTTCTGGCCAAAGACATCAGCTAAGAAAGGAAACTGGGTCCTACGGCTTGGACTTTCCAACCCTGACAGACCCGCAAGACAAAACAACTGGTTCTTGCCAGCCTCTAGAGAAATCCCAGAACACTCAGCCCTGACACGTTAATACCCTGCACAGATCAGAGGCTGCTGGCCACACAGACTCACCAAGCCACAGACTTGTCTTCCACAAGCACGTTCTTACCTTAGCCACGAAGTGACCAAGCCACACGTACTAAAGGTTGAACTCAAAGATATGTACAGGGTATTAAACAAATACCAAGGGGAACAGTTAACTTCAATACAAGGTCAAAATCAGCAACAAGTTCTACAATCCAGTGCTGATATCAGATACAAGCTTCAAGGACAATTTCTTTTCGAAGGCTTATTCCAGTTTCGTGAGGCTAGCATGAGGTGTGTGCATTTGCCAGGGGCAAATTTCTATTCTCAATTAACCCATGCAGCAAATGCTACGCATCTGCTGAGTCCGTTTAGAAGCATTTGCGGTGGACGATGGAGGGGCCCGACTCGTCGTACTCCTGCTTGCTAATCCACATCTGCTGGAAGGTGGACAGTGAGGCCAGGATGGAGCCACCGATCCACACCGAGTACTTGCGCTCTGGGGGTGCGATGATCTGCAAAGACAGCCAGGCACGGCTTCAGCTCACAGAGCGCCCCCCAGTCAGCTCTCCCGAGCCAGGCAGAGGGCCACCAACCCCTCGACTCACCTTGATCTTCATGGTGCTGGGCGCCAGGGCGGTGATCTCCTTCTGCATCCTGTCGGCAATGCCCGGGTACATGGTGGTGCCGCCCGACAGCACCGTGTTGGCGTACAGGTCTTTGCGGATGTCCACGTCACACTTCATGATGGAGTTGAAGGTGGTCTCGTGGATGCCGCAAGATTCCATACCTAGGGGACAGAGCCCTCCCTTAGTGATGCTGTGTCACCGAGGATGTAAGAGTAGAAACCTTTAGCTCACAACACCTACCCAGGAAGGAAGGCTGGAACAGCGCCTCCGGACACCGGAACCGCTCATTGCCAATGGTGATGACCTGGCCATCGGGCAGCTCGTAGCTCTTCTCCAGAGAAGAGGAGGATGCGGCGGTGGCCATCTCCTGCTCGAAGTCCAGGGCGACGTAGCACAGCTTCTCCTTGATGTCGCGCACGATTTCCCGCTCGGCCGTGGTGGTGAAGCTGTAGCCTCGCTCAGTGAGGATCTTCATGAGGTAGTCGGTCAG
This sequence comes from Homo sapiens, assembly GCF_000001405.40. Lineage (NCBI taxonomy): Eukaryota > Metazoa > Chordata > Mammalia > Primates > Hominidae > Homo > Homo sapiens. The sequence continues at coordinate 167,643 of NW_025791805.1, forward strand.
GTCCCGGCCAGCCAGGTCCAGACGCAGGATGGCGTGGGGGAGGGCGTAGCCCTCGTAGATGGGCACCGTGTGGGTGACCCCGTCTCCAGAGTCCATGACAATGCCAGTGGTGCGCCCAGAGGCGTAGAGGGACAGCACGGCCTGGATGGCCACGTACATGGCCGGGGTGTTGAAGGTCTCAAACATAATCTGAGAAGGGACAAGGGGCGGCTTAGTCAGGGACAGAGACCCACGGCCACCCCATGCTCACACGCCACAACATGCTGCATGCCAGTGTGATGTGTGGAGAAAAGAAAAGAACGCAGGCAGAAACCAAATGAGAAACCTGGAGGCTTCAGGGAGGAAATGCCGGGAGAGGAACAGAGCCTGGAACAGCGAAAGAAACACTTAAATGTCAGAAATCAAGCCGGGCAGAAAATGACTGGGGAAAGGACGGGAGGAGCACGGGCGTCGGCCGAGCCTCACCTGAGTCATCTTCTCTCTGTTGGCCTTGGGGTTCAGGGGGGCCTCGGTCAGCAGCACTGGGTGCTCCTCCGGGGCCACGCGCAGCTCGTTGTAGAAGGTGTGGTGCCAGATCTTCTCCATGTCGTCCCAGTTGGTGACGATGCCATGCTCAATGGGGTACTTCAGGGTCAGGATGCCACGCTTGCTCTGGGCCTCGTCGCCCACGTAGGAGTCCTTCTGGCCCATGCCCACCATGACGCCCTGCAGGGGACGACCCGTCAGCCTCGCCGGCGACACCGAACCCACCCCGCAACGCAGAACCCAGGAGCCCCGCGGCGCCATCCACTCACCTGGTGTCTGGGGCGCCCGACGATGGAAGGAAACACGGCTCGGGGAGCGTCGTCCCCAGCAAAACCAGCTTTGCACATGCCGGAGCCATTGTCAATGACCAGCGCGGCGATCTCTTCTTCCATTGCGACCTGCCCGGAAAAGGATGGACTCAGGCGGGCGCGTCTGTAACACGGTCCCCTCCCCACAGCCACCTAATGCCCTCCCGCGGGGAAGCCTCGGCCCTGCCCCAACCCCAGCGGCCGTGGCCTCCAAGATCGCAACCGCCTGGAACCGAAGGCCGGGCCTTTTACGTAACGTCCACGGCTCGGAAGTCTGCACTGCGGCCGGGCCCCGCCCTGGACCCCCGGCGCCCCCCCAGCCCCGTCCGCCTGACCCGGCCCACCCCGCCTTTTGTTCCCGGGGAAGGCGCGACGAGGCCTCGGCAGCTGGAAGCGGGGCCAGCCGGGGTCGGGGGGCGCAGGCCTGCGACGTCCAGCTCAGGCCCCGGGGCGGGGCGCTCACCGGCAGAGAAACGCGACGGCGGAGCGGCGGAAGAACAGAGTGCGAGAGCTGGCAGCGGCGACTGAGACCGACCGCGGCCTCCCCCGCCGTTATTTAAGCGGAAGCGGCGCGCCCGCGCGGCCCGGCGGCGCGCGCGGCCCCAGAACATGTCCATATATGGCGATCTTTCCGAAAGCCGGGCACCCATTGGCCCGCCGGGCAGGGACACGTGGGGCCCCGGCCCGCCCCGCCCCCAGCCCGCACCGCCTCCCAACGGCCCCGCCCGCGCCACCCCCGCGCGCTCGCGACCCTGCGCGGGCCGGCGGGCGGGTCTGAGTTGGGGCGCCCTCCGAGGGTCGCCGGGAGGGCCGAAGGGCTGACGGGCCTGGCCCCTCCCCGGGACTGCCGCGCCGTGGGGAGGGCCCTGCTGCGCCCCGAAACTGCCTGACCCGGGGCGGGGCCGCGCCGGAGCTGGGGTGGGTCCCCGAGTCCCCGGCCACGCTGCGGGGCTTTGCTCCCTGGGACGTCCCTTGCAATCTTTCCCCTCGGGCTCCACGAGGATCTCGGGCGCCAGTGCCGGGCTGAGGAAGGGGCGCGGCGGGGGTCCGCGACGCTCTGCGTCCCTGGGCGCGGGGGAGCTCTCAGGAGCCCTCACCTCGCCCCGGTCACCATAGGAAACAGCCCGCCCGTCCCCAAGCGCAGCCACCACCATGCAGGTCCCTCCACGGGGCGCCCTGCCCCGGATCTCCGTTCGTTTGAAGACCGAGGCCCCTTTCTACCCGACCCGACACATCCCTGCCCCTCAAATCACAGGCCTGATTGTCCCCAGGCGCGCGCTCCGGGTTGGGGCTACCCCGCCCCCTTATGTGCTGAGAAGGTGGTGTGGAGTGAGGCCTTTGTTTCATTCTGGTCACCTGTAGACATTATAGGGAAACTGAGGTAGACAATGGGAGCCCTGACTTTTTTGAAGGTCGGCTCCCCAGCTTCGGGCGGTCGGGGGGATACCCTCTTCTGTTTACGATGCTAGTTAAGAGCAGCGATCAGGGCTGGCGTGGGTTTAGCCACAGGCTTGTCCAGGGCGCTCACTCCTCGCCAGGAGCGGCGCCGGTGCTTTGGTTACACCCCGAGAGGCGCCCGGCACTACGGTTTCCTTGTGCGCTGCTGGAATTTTCAGGGTTGGAGCGCCGGCCGCGTAGGGGTGGCAGTGAGGCCGCGCAGTGAGGGGACGGACTCGCCCGAGGTCGCAGAGCGTTCAGATTGACTCGACAGGCTGGGGGGCGGGGCCGGGGTCCCCACGCGGAGTCCGGGGCCCTGCAACGTTAGCTCGCGACCCCGTGTTTGGGAGTGACAACAGCGAGTCAGGGCAAGGCGGCCGGCCCAGCTCACCTGCGGGCTGCAGTCAGCCCGGACGCCGAGACCCGTGCCTAAGGCCCCCGTGCCCCAGGCCTCCCAGGGGTGCTGAGCGCCCCCAGGCCCAGAATCTCCGGGGGCCCGGGCAAGGCTGTCAGGTATGTTCCCTCCCGTGGCGAAGCCGGGGCTGGGCCTCCAACAGACCCACCCGGACTCGCGTCCCTGGGCAGAACCACACAGCCTGCTCGACCCCCGGGTGAGGACTTCCACTTGGGGGGTCCCAAGATGCGACGTCACACACCGAGGGACACGAGGCGGGTGGGGAATAGCCACAAGCCCCTCCATCCTGCGTTCACCCCACACTACGTTCTGCTCCGGGCCGGCCGGGGACCCTGCCCCTCCGGGTCTCTGGTCTCCTCCGAAGCTTCTTTGTCTAGGAAGTGCGGGGAGGTGCCGGCCCCGGGCGCGCGTCCCCGTCCCCCACCTTTCTTCCCCACGTTGCGGACCCGAGGCCGCCAGGGTCGTGGGGGCGGGGGCGAGGCTGGCGCCTCGAGACCCCCGGGTTCCCCGCCACCCGCAGGGCCTGAGCCGCGGGGAGGGGCGGGGAGGGGACGCCGCCGCGGGCCGGGGGTGGAGAGCGACTTCCTCCTCCGCGGCCGCGTCACGCGGCAGGGGTCAAGGTGTGGCCCAGGTACGCGGCGGGGGGCGGTGGCGCGGCCATATTTGGCGACTTCGGCGCCGCCGGAGCCCCGCCCGCCTCCGCCGGGAAGCCCGGCCCGGGGCAGCGCCATCCCCGCCCGCCGCCGGGCCTGAGTCACGGCGGGCGGGGGGCGGAAGTAACGGACGGGGGGCGCCCGCCCGGCGCTCCTGGCCTTATTTAGTCAAGGAGGCCGCCGATTGGCGCGCGGGACAGAGGGGCGGCGGCCGGGCAGCCTCGGGGCGTAGGAGTGGCCCGGCGCCTCCGAGGGGTCGGGGCGGGAGCCGGGCGTGGGGGGCCTCGGAGCCTGGGGAGTCCCGGGACCGACGGCGGCGGGGATGCGGGTCTGCCTGTCCCTGGGATGCGGGCGGGCGGGCAGGGCGAGGCCTGGAGCCCGCGGGGCGCAGGGGGCTGGACCGCGCGCTGTGATTTTTCTGTTTAGCAGCGGGGCCTCGCCCAAGGTCGCGCGGGGCCTGTCCTGGATATGCTCTGGGAAGCCAGTGGCGCAGGGCAGCCGCCACCCTTCTGGAACCAGTGCCGGAGAGGGCCGGGCAGCTGGGCCTGGGGAGGGGACCGCATGGATGGAGCTGGGGGTAGCTGGGCGGCCTCCGGAGCCGGGAGAGTCGGCAGCTGCACTTCCGCCAGAGGTGGGTGTGTCCTTCACATTTCAGGAAGGGAGACTTGGGGCCTGGAGAAGCGATGTGATTTTTCTTTTCTAGTTCAGTGCTGGTTTTGATGGCTTTTTATCATGACCTTGTTATGTCTTATTTTAGTTTCGGCCCATTTAGTGGATACGACAACAGTGGCCCAGGGAGGTATGGCAGAGCTGAGGCTTAACCCAGGGCCTGCGCCCTCCACGGCCTGCACTGCCCCACCTCCAGCTCCTTGCCCTGTTCCTCCCTCTGCACCGGATCAGCCCCCGGACTCTGGGTCACCTCCACACCAGTTGACAGGGCCCCCCAGTCCCCACCGCCAACCACCTGGCCGGCTACTTGTCAGACAGACATGGGGGCGTGGGCATGGGTCCCCACCCCTAGCCTTTGCCTCTGTCACTCTACCTGCCTGGAATGTCTACTTTTTCTTTATATTTTATTTTATTGTATTTTTGAGACAGTCTCATTGTCGCCCAGGCTGGAGCGCAGTGGCGCGATCTTGGCTCGCTGCAACCTCTGTCTCCGGGGTTCAAGCGATTCTCGGGCCTTAGCCTCCCGAGTAGCTGAGACTACAGGCGTGCACCACCATGCCTGGCTAATTTTTGCATTTTTGGTGGAGACAGGGTTTCACCATGTTGGCCAGGCTGGCCTGAACTCCTGACCTTAAGTGATCCACTCGCCTAGGCCTTCCAAAGTGCTGGGATTACAGGCGTGAGCCACCTCACCCAGCCTGGAGTGTCTCATCTTCCACCACTAAATGAAACGATGGACCCTGAACAGAAAAAGGAACAGTGGTGGAAGAACTAGCAAAGCCCACAGCCTTGAGTTTGGCCGTAAGTATCAAGGTTAATCTCTCAGTTATGGCAGTTGTCCCATGACCGTGTAAGATGCCAGGTTAGGGGACACTGGGAATAGAGCATTGGGAAACCTTCCCACTGTCTTTGCAACTTTTCTGTAAGTTTAAAGTTCTCCCATAATAAAAAGCTAACTTGAATCCAAGGCAAGCAAAGCTTCCCTACTCTCAGCCCACCTCCCTCTTCTCCCACACCCTTTTGGACAGATGAAATGCAAGGTGATGGCCCTGTTTCCTGAAGCTCTTTCCAGGGCCTGGCTGGCTCCCTTGGGCAGGTCTGGAGTGGGCTCTGCCTCTTCAGGAACAGTGGTCCCAAGGCTGGTCCCGGTGGGCAAGGCTGGTTTCCTGCAACTCGGCCTGGCTGCCTCTGAGTTTTGGCTCAAGGGACAAGGCCAGGGTCCCACACTTCTGTCTCCTGGCTGGTGCCCAGCTTGGGGCTTGGTTCTCCTGCCCCACTGCGCAGACTGAAGCTCAGAAGGCTCAGCTGGCTGCCCCCCACCCCACCCCTGCGGAGTCACTGGGCAGCTGGCTGTGAGTGGCCAGGTGCTGCTTGTTTGGTCCCAGGACCAGGTCTCTGCATGTGTTGTCCAATTCTCACCTGGTCCCCAGACCAGGTCTCTGCATGTTTTGTCCAATTCTCACCTGGTCCCCAGACCAGGTCTCTGCATGTTTTGTCCAATTCTCACCACTGGAGGAGAGTCCCAGACTGTGGAGTTTTCACAGGGAGGGAAACTGAGGCAGTCTCCTGGGTCAGGGTAATTAGCCAGAAACAAGGTCACATTCTGGGAGGTCAGAAGGTTCTGGAGGGCGGTGTGGGCACTCTACACGAGGGTTAGGGGCTTGAATGCACACAGACACTCAGGCCGAGAGTCCCTCAACCCCACTCCCCTGCCCCGCCCCACCCCCGCTGCTCCAGGCCTTCTGGAGACAGGATCCCTGTTGCAGTTTACCTGAGGCTCCCCATCCCCGCTGTGAGCAGGAACCAAGGAGGCCCCTGGAAGAGCCCTGAGCTGGGAGTCGGACACCTGGGTTCTGGGCCCGGCTCAGCCCTGTGCCTGCCACGTGACCTCTCTGTACCCCAGTTCCTGTCAAAAAAGAGGAGAGGGCTCTGCGATGTGAGATGTGTGGCCCATCAGGGGCTCTGAGGCTGCTTGCCCTCCCGTGTGGACAGGAAGTCTGGGGACAGGAGGCCGTCAGGTGGCCCAGCAAACCCCCCAGGCGTCTTGCCTGACACCCAGGGGCTCAGTTTTCGGTGATGAGTAAGACGTGCTCAGTGCCTCTGTGTGTCGTGTGTGAGACCTGAGACCAGGGTGCCTGCTCCTCCCTCTGTTCCCAAGGGCATAGCCCCAGGCCCGTTTGTGACCCTCCACTGGGCCCGAGAAGAAGGCTCCTTTCCCCAGGCCTCATTCCCCTGTGGCCTCCCAGAGCCGCACGGAGTGGGGAGGGTCTGCTCTCCACCTGGCCATTGTGGACCCCACCCCAGGAGCTCCGGCCGCCCCCCCCCCCTCCAGTCCCACTCCTTCCTCCCCAGAGGCAGCGAGGCCTGAAGTTTGTGTTTCCCCTCAGGGTGGTTCTTAGCTGCGGTCACAGATTGCAGGGGAGGAGCCAGAAACGGAGATGAAACCGAGGAGCCCCCACCCTCTTCACAGGGCTAAAGCCAGAAACCACCGTCCCAGGCCACAGCCTGCCTCATGTGGCCATGCCTGCTCCCTGGCAGTGCGCGTCCTGCAACCCTTCCCACCCCAGGGCCTCGGCTTCCGCAATGAATCCCCATGTTTCAAATCCCCGCTGCTCCCAAGGCTACCTGCTGCCTCGGGGTAGAATCTAAGCCCCTTCCCCTGGTGCTGGAGGCCCACAGAGTGGGCGCTGCCTGTCCCTCCACTCCTTCAGCGCCCTGACCACCGTCTGGCTGTTCCTTTGCCCCCAAAGCTGTCCCACTGGCTGCCTCCTCCTGGCATGCCCCCATGCCACCCACGACCTCCCATCAACTCCTATTGATTATTAGCTTCTTTCACCCACTCTCTGCCCTAGAGCATTGGTTCTTGGGGCACAGCATCCTTGTCCTCCACAGTGAAGCTGGTGCCCCTGTACCTGGCATAGCCCCTGTACCTGGCATAGCCCCTGTACCTGGCATAGCACCTGCCCAGCAGCTGCTCGTGCAGGAAGCCCAAGTAGGGGTGGAATAGAGAGGGAGGAGTTCCCAGCCCTGGAGGAGGGAGCGCAGAGGAAGGCTAGGCCGATTCGCAGCTGCCTCCTATCTCAAAAACGTGGAAGGGGCTATAACTCTAGGGCTGGGAGGGAGGGGAGTCGTTTTCGCTGACTCTCCGCACGGACCCTCTCCTGCCCGCTAGCTGGTCAGCTCCTCCAGCTCTCCCCGCGGCAGCAGGCCGGGGAGCAGATGTCTTGTCCAGTGTGCGCGGGGCACCGAGGTAGGGAAAGCCTGTTTAACCCGTCCCGCCCCTCCTGCTCTGGCCAGCAGCTCGCCCAAGCAGCTCTGCAGAGCGACTAGGTCAGGGCCTCTCCAGGTGTCTCCACTCGAGGGACGGCTGGCGCCACGCGGAAAAGGGGAAGCGGGTCAGGGCGGGACAAGGGCAAGAGGTTACTGCTCTGGGCGCTGTGTCCTAAGGGCTGCCTCTTGTCTGCGGAGAATGGAGGGTGCCGGGGGTCAAGCCCGGACTCTGTCAGGGTACCCGAGTCTTAGCCACGCCATCCTTCCCCAGCGCGCCGCGGGGGCGGGCACAGCAGGGCGGGCGTGGCTGGGAGACCGGCTGTGCCTCGCCGCCCCGCCCGTCCCAGGCCGGGAAGCTGGGACTTGAGCTGGTCTGCATTCGGGCAAGGTGAGCCCCGGGATGTTTCTCAGGCAGGGCCCAGGGCTGCACGCCCTAACTTGGTGCGGGGTCGCGGCGGTCCAGCCCGGCTGCACGTGGTCGCGCGCTCCTTGCAGCTCCCAGCCCGCCGGCCCGCGCTCCTGCGCCCCCTCCCCACGCAGTCGACCTCTCCTGACCGCCAGGTGCACGCAGGGCGCGGGCCTGGGCCTCAGCTCCGCGCACTCCCCCCGGGACGCGGCACCGGGGCTTCGGGTGGGCCCAGGACCCGCACTCAGCACGCACTTCCCCCGCCGAGCACTGTCTGGCAGCGGGGACGCACCCCCAGGACCACGAGCTCGGAGGCCTGGGGCCGGGAGATGGCGCCCGTGGAGTGGGTCCCGCGAGAAGGCCGGGAATGGCGGGCCGCTGTCGTTCCCACCTGGGCCGCCAGGTGGGTGCCGCTATCGCCGCGAGGCCGCACCTGTCGCGCTGCCGGAGCCCGCGCCTGCCCAGGAGCGCCAGGAGGGACCCCCGCTCCTCCCTCCGCCACTGGGCGGGGCCGGTCGCTGAGTCACGGCCGCACACCGGACGGTGACAGAGGCAGGGCTGCCTGGGGAGGGGCCGGTGACCTCAGTCAGGGCTGACGCGGAAAAGTGGGATGGGGTCACCCGTGGCAGTGGATGAGGGGGTGGCCCGGGCCTCCACTCACTGCCCACGCTAGATGTCCGGGGTCCCTCCTGCGACCGAGGACAGGAGGCACCCACAGAGGACCCCAACACGAGGACCCTGGCCCTGGGTGCGGGGCGTTTTTCCCGCACTCTGCTCCCCTAGCAGATGGCCCCTGCTAAGCACCAGCTCCCAGAAAAGGAAAGGAAGGGGCTGAGAGGCTGGATCGAGGCAACCCAGCAGGAAAAGGTGGCTCCAGGGCTGGAGGGGTGGGACTCAGAGATCTCACTACATACACCTGCTGGGGACAGAGGCTTCTCCGGCCTTCCCAGGGCTGGGCCAGGCCGTGGCAGGGGCCGCCCCAGACCTGTGTCCCAAGGGGCCAGGTTGTTTGCGGCTGGGCTGGCTCCGGGAAAGTCAGAGGGGGCACTGCCGGACAGGGGATGTCCAGTGCCACACCAGGGCGGTCACACTTCCTCCTGGGGCCGTGGGGACACAGGAAGGCCTAGGGGAGGGGTGGGGGGAGAACACACTCAGGAGGTGACCCTGAAGGTGGAGAGGCCCGAGCTGGGGTCACACCATGCCCAGGGAAGGATCATGGTTGGCCCAACCCATGTGTCCACTTGGTCTGTGGGAGGGAATCACCCTGGGGAGCCCCCTATGCCTGGCCCCCACCCACACACACCTTGGGCTCTCTTGAAGGTTAACTGTGCCCAGCACCTTGACAAGCCCCATTTCCTCCAGTCCTTAGGACAAGGCATCCTTTGGGGGCGTCACCAAGCTGGGAAGGTGAGCCCCCGAGTCAGTGTTGAGTTTGCGTATCGGCAAGTGCCTTGAGCTCACACCCCTGGAACTGGCAGTTTGGTGAGAGATGGAATTTCAAGTTGAGAACTGGCCTGGGATTTTGAACGCTTAGTCCCTGTCTCTTGCTGGCACTGCTGCTGATGAGAAATGAATGTCACTGGATTCCTGATCCAGAGTCCAGGTGTTGTGTTTCTCTAAGAGCCTTCAGGCTTTTCCTTGCTGATCTAAAACTGCTTCATGTCCCTGGTGATGCTTTTGCATTCATTATCTTGGCTACTTCCTAGGCCCTGTTCTTGCTAATTTGCTTGTATTATTTCTTTTACAATTTCTTTCTTTTGTTTTCTGTTCTTCTGTTTTGGGATTTCTGTTAATTGGGCATTATACCTTCTGGATTTATTCTCTAATATTCTAGTTTTTTTCTTCTGTCTACTTTTTTAAACCTTCTGGGATATTTCCTTGACTTCTAACCCTTCAGCGGAGTTTTTCATTTTATTTATTATAGTTTTTAACCTTTTGGTTTTGAAATTTTTTTTTCTTTTTTTGAGACAGAGTTTCACTCTTGTTGCCCAGGCTGGAGTGCAATGGTGCGATCTTGGCCCACCGCAACCTCTCCCTCCCAGGTTCAAGCGATTCTCCTGCCTCAGCCTCCCTAGTAGCTGGGATTACAGGCATGTGCCACCACGCCTGGCTAATTTTTGTATCTTTAGTAGAGACAGGGTTTCTCCATGTTGGTCAGGCTGGTCTCAAACTCCCGACCTCAGGTGATCCACCCGCCTTGGCCTCCCAGAGTCCTGGGATTACAGGCATAAGCCAAGCCCAGCTTTTTTTTTTTTTTTTTTGAGACAAGGTCTTATTCTGTCATCCAGGTTAGAGTGCATTGGTGCCATCTCAGTTCACTGTAACCTCGACCTCCCAGGCTCAAGCAAACTTCCCACCTCAGCCCTCTCCATCCCCCAGCAGCCAGGACTACAGGTGTATGCCACCATGCCTGGCTAATGTTTGTATTTGTAGTAGAAATAGGGTTTTGCCATGTTACCCAAGCTGGTCTTGAACTCCTGGGTTCCAGCAGTCCACCCGACTTGGCCTCCCAAAATGCTGGGATTACAAATGTGAGCCACCACACCCAGCCTTTGTTTTGAAATTTCAAACTTACCTCGTTTTAAACATCTTGACACATTTGCTTATCATTCTCCTTCTATTTCTGAGCCCTTTGGAAGCAGGTTTCAGGCATGATGCCCTTACTATTTTAGGGTGTGTTTCCTAAGAACAAGGATGTTTTCTTCTATAACCACAGAACAGTGATCAAAATCAGGCAACATCAGTATCACACTGTTTATCCAATTGACAGGCAATGATGGCGTGGATCATACAACTTCGGTAATGACACTTGTCCCAGAAATGTCCTCCGTAGTGTGTTTTCCTCATCTAATCCAAAATCACGTTATAACGTTTTGTTGTCATAAACTTTTTTTTTTGAAACGGAGTCTCACTCTGCACTCTGTTGCCCAGGCTGGAGTAGAGTGGCACGATCTCGGCTCACTGCAACCTCCGTCTCCTGGGTTCAAGCAATTCTCCTGCCTCAGTCTCCTGAGTAGCTGGGATTACAGGCGTGGACCACCACACCCAGCTATTTGTTGTATTTTTAGTAGAAATGCAGTTTCACCATGTTGGGCAGGCTGGTCTCGAACTCCTGACCTCGTGATCCGCCTGCCTCGGCCTCCAAAAGTGCTTGAATTACAGCCCGGCCAAACTATCATACTTTTAATTCCCAAGGCCTCTCTTGTTCTCTGCACCATTTCATTAACTATAGGCAATGAGACTTTTTTAGAAAGCAGACCAACTTGAATGCATGGAGCTGAGTGGCGTGGCGTTGTCCCCAAGGGAGCTGGGTGACACCACGATGGTGACCATGTGCAGAGCCCTTCTCACCGTAGAGTGATAAATGGTCCGTTTCTGTTTTGTCCCAGAAGTCAGAGGTAGAGTTAATTCCTTTCCTTTCCCCAGCACGGTTCCTGGCACACCTGGCACTCCCTAAGTGCCTGTGATGGTTGGTTCTTACGTGACTGAACTTGCGGGTGGACGTGGCATTACACGTGGGCAGGGCGTATGTACACCTGTGTGTGTGTGTAGATGCAGGTTCGCAGGGGCTGGGCAGAGGCCGCCACCTGCAGACCTGTGGGCTCGTTCACGCCAGGTGTCCATGTCTGTGGTGTGCCCCTGTGTGTAAGTCCAGCTGGGCTGTAGACAGCCATCTCTTCTCTGAAAGTTGATCTGTTCGTCACTCTAAGCCCCAAGCAGCCAGGGGCTCATGGGATTTTCATGAACACTCTCCTCCTGTCCCCTGCATGTGCAAAGGTCCTGGGGCTCAGGGGTTGGAGGCTCCATCGCCCCAGTGGTTGTGAGGCATCTGGGCTTGTCCAGACACCTTCGCTTCTGCCCTCGGGGTCCCTTTGGGGACTTTTGTCCTTGCTGGGGTCCAGAGTTTTCTGGCAAGGCCTAGAGCCCTCTTCCTCCCCTCCCCTTCCAGGCACAGCCCCCCACCAGCACCTTATGATTTCACAGAAGACAAAAGCCAGCAGACTGTGTGGGCTGTCTGCCCTGAGAGTTCCAAGGCGAGGCTCCGGAGCAGCCAGCCGTGAACCCCAACTGCAGTTCGGGAAGCTGCTTTCGGGGAGGGGCAGGGAGGGGAGGGGGATTCTCGGAGCAGGCAGGCAGCCACGCTGGAGAGCCCCTCCCCAAGCTCTTCATTCCAACCCTGCCCTGCCCCCTGCCTTGCCGATGGAGCCTGTCACCCTAAACCTGGCCTCAGTAAACCAACCCAGGCCAGAGAAAGAGAAGTGCGGCCCCCTCGCCCGTGTAAGTGGAACTGCAGCGGAGCCGATAGCTCAGCCATGAAAAAATCATGAGGTCGCCAGGCTGCAGGTCTGTGCTCAGGAATAACACCCGGGGCTGGGCCCCTGGGAGTAGGTGCTGGGCCAGGAGTGAGGACATCAAGGCCCGGTGTGCCCAGCAGGGTGGCCCTCACCTGGCTGCAGGGCCAAGGGGACAACAGAGCCTAGGCAGGGGCTTGGCACGGGGACAAGGGGGAGGGTGGAGTACCTGGGAATCACTGGAGACAGGGATGCCAACAGGAGTGGCAGCGGTCAGGGCCTGGCACTGAGGTGGGGGCTCCTCCGATGCCTGCAGGGAGGGCTGCAGGCACTGCTGGCCTGTGAAAGGCGTGGTCCTCAGCCGCGGGGTGGCCCCAGGGCTCCATTTCCCAGTTTTCAGGGCTCCAGTCCAGCAGGGCGAGGAGCCACCTCTCCCCCAGCTGCACACACGCAGGCCTGTGCCAGCTCACACCACCAGCATCAGCGTTGCAGGGCATCCAGCCTGGAGCACGTGCCGGTCACCATGGCAGCAGACAGCGTGCCAGCAGGAGCCCAGGCTGGGCTCAAGCATCCAGGATCAGTGGTCTAGGCATGGGGGGCTTGGGGTCCTTCCCCTTGGAGCACCAGACGGGCCAACTCGGGGAGGGGAAGGGGGACCCTGGAGCACCAGGACAGCCCGTCCACCAGCACCTCAGAAAGGGAACGATTTCCTAAGGGCTCTCGGGAAACCTGAGGGTGGACACCAGGTGCCGGTGGGGGCGCATGGCTTCCTGGTCCTGCCCAGCTGGCCCCGCACTGAGAGGGATGGAGGCCGAGGCTCAGGCCTCGGGAGGCTGCCAGGGGATTCTGATGGCTGAGGCATTCCTTGCCCTCTGGGCTCAGGTGAGGCCAGGAAGTCTGTCACAGCTGGCTGCTCCCTGGACCAGGGGGCTGGGGGTACTGCTACCCCAAACAGCCTCTCACTGCCCACCGGGACAAGGCACCCCCTCCCAGGTGCAGACCTCAGCTTGGGCCTCAGGCACACACTGGGCAGGGGCTTCCACCAGCCTCAGAGGTGGGCGAGGGTGGGGCGTGGAGCCCTCAGTGTGGCAGCGCCTTTGAATGTCGCCACAGTGCAGCCTGCACAGGTCAGGGTGGCAGGCACGTGTGTATCCCATGTGAGTGGTTGGTTGGCACCTCCGGAGGTGTGGCCACAGGGCTTGGTGAGGGTCAGTGGGAGGGGTGCTTCCTGTTGCCTGAGAACACTGCAGGGGGCTAGAGTGCCCCAGCCCACCATATGCTCTTGTGAGTTGTGTATGTCTGGAGTATGAGTGGGACCCTGGAAATAGCCTCCCTTGGGCAGTGTACAACCTGGGCTCCCTGCTGGGCAGCCCTGAGTAGGCTCTCAGGCTGGGATCCAGGATGACAGTCCCAGGGTCCAGAGTTGGCCCAGCAGGCGACTCTTCTGGCAACCTTTGCCCACCCTCATCCATGAGCACCTTCACACACACACACACACACACACACACCACACTCACACACATGCACAACGCTGCACCCATGGGCAGAGGCTCAGCCCATCATACAAGAACCCGGCCCTGTGCTGGGGTCCCAGCTGCTCAGGAGGCCAAGGTGGGAGGATCGCCGGAGCCCAGGAGTTCGGGGCTGCCACTGGCCAAGATAGCGCCACTGCAGTTCAGCCTGGGTGACAGAGCAAAACCCTGTCTCTAAGATAAATAAAAAGAACCAGACGGCCAGGCACGGTGGCTCACGCCTGTAATCCCAGCACTTTGGGAGGCCGAGGCAGGTGGATCACCTGAGGTCAGGTGTTTGAGACCATGCTGGCCAACATGGTGAAACCTCATCTCTACTAAAAATACAAAAACTAGCGGGGCGTGGTGGTGGGCGCCTGTAGTCCCAGCTACTTGGGAGGCTGAGGCAGGAGAATCGCCTGAACCTGGGAGGTGGAGGTTGCAGTGAGCTGAGATCACGCCACTGCACCCCAGCCTGGGCGACAGAGCAAGACTCTGTCTCAAAAAAAAAAAAAAAGGCTGTGCCTGGTGGTTCACGGCTGTAATCCCAGCACTTTGAGAGGCTGAGGAGGCCAGATCACAAGGTCAGGAGTTCGAGACCAGTCTGACCAACATAATGAAGCCCCGTGTCTACTAAAAAATACAAAAAAAATTAGCTGGGTATGGTGGCAGGCGCCTGTAATCCCAGCAACTCGGGAGGCCGAGGCAGGAGAATCACATGAACCTGGGAGGCAGAGGTTGCAGTGAGCCAAGATTGTGCCATTGCACTCCAGCCTGGGTGACAGTGTGAGACTCTGTCTGAAAAAAATAAAATAATTAATAATAACCAGACTCCCGACATCCAACAATCTCAGGCACTTATTAAGTACCTGCTGTGTGCCAGAAATTTTGCTGAGAATCCAGAGGAAGCGATCCTAGCAGGTGGCTGGGCAACAGCCTGGGGTCCTGAGGTGGAGGCAGGAGGGGCTGGAATCCCTGTAAACGGCCTCCCTCCAAGGAAGCCTGGCCCAGGCGCCCACCCTTCAGTCACCCTCCCCTGTTTAGCTCACACAGCTGGGTCAGTGCCAGGCAGCCCCACCCAACGTGGAGCTGTGGGGCCCTAGAACTGAGGAGCCGCCATCATTTCTGGCTCTGCCACCAAGAGGCTGCCCAGAGCCAGGCCCACTTAGTGCCGGGCGGCCAGGCTTCCCCCTGCTGAGCACCCGATGCCTAAGCGCCCTGCCAGCCCAGACAGCGCTAATGAGGCCGTCGTGCCAATCAGAGGGGCAGGCCGCCTGGGCTCCTCCTCAGCCTGGCTGGGCGTTGGGGTGTGGAGGTGAAGCCAGTGTCTGTGCCTGGGGTGGGGGGGACCATGGGCACAGCTGCCCCTCCGGCTTCCCCCACCGCTCACGGACCAACCGAGCTGTACCCTCAAAATCCAACGGGAGGCCGGGCGCAGTGGCCACGCCTATCATCCCAGCACTTTCAGAGGCCGCGGCGGGCAGATCACTTGAGGTCAGGAGTTCGAGACCAGCCTGGGCAACATGGTGAAACCCCATCTCTACTAAAAATACAAACATTAGCCGGGCACGGTAGCAAGTGCCTGTAATCCCAGCTACTTGGGAGGCTGAGGCAGGAGGACTGCTTGAGCTCGAAGGTTCCAGTGAGCCAAGATTGCGCCACTGGACTCCAGTTTGGGTGAGGAGCGAGACCCTATTTCAAGAAAAAAGTTTTTTAAAAAGAAGAGCCAATGGGAAAGTGAGGTGCAGGCAGCACCCTAGCTTGTATCCCTAAACCAGAGACAGTTCCCTGGCATCGGTGCTAGGCCTGTGTCCTCAGTCCCCTGGAAACTGTGGGAGAGTGTGTGTGGGCATCGTCTCTGGGAAGGGGGTGAAACCCCAGACTGCGTCTCCCCAGGATGGTGCCTGGCACGTGACCTGGTTTCGCACACAGTTGGTGCCTCATAAATGCGTGTGAATCATAGAGGCGGATGAGGCCAGCACACAGGGAGAGGCGAGAGCAGGCCCTGGCGTCGTGGCGTACGCTGTGCCCTGGGGGGTATTTGCATGTGGGAGTCTCTCTGCCCCCACCCTGGCCCCTGAGCGTGGGGACAGTGGGGACAGGTCTCCTCTTTTTCCTCCCCTGTGTCTGCAGGTGCCTGGCACGGTTGCTGTCCAGGGCTTAGAGGACAGAGGAAGAGCCCCTGAGTCTGTGCACACTCTGCCACCATGGCCCTGCCCACCTCTGGAGCCCACAGGTGCCCAGCCCAGGCCCCTTGCTTTTGGCTAGACTCCTGCCCTACGGGGACCCCCATGATGGCCACTCAGGAGATGGGCCCAGGAGGACAGGGGAGTGACTCCAGGCCATGACCGGAAGGGGCCTGTGGCCCCTGTTCCCAGTCCCCAGGGAGACGGGAGGGTCACACGCTGTTATGAGGAAGAGGACACCGGGCTGGCCCTGGCCCAGGGTGGCCAGCTCTGGTTTCACTACTTGGCCCCAAGCCCCTGAGGCAGGTGCAGGAGCCAGGCACGGTGAGCAGGGCCCAGTGCCCCTCAGGCTCTGGGGAAGGGGTACAGCCAGGTGGCCCAGAGCAAGGAGGTGCTGTAGACAGGTGTGACCACTTCCAGTCTCTCCCGGCCTGCTGGCCTTCATCCTCTCCCAGATTCCAAGGGCCACCGCTGGGAGCATGGGGTGGACATCGTCCCACCAGCCTCCTGGATCCACATCCGTAAAGACTCCAAAGTGAAGTGAGGCTGGCTTCACTCCAGCTCACAGCAGAGGAGGGGGCAGCCTCAGGGCCCAGCAACTTGCTCAGAGCGCACAGGAGTGCGCTGGGGCCGGGCCAGCCTGGCCCAGGGCCTCTGACTCTGCCCCCTGCCTGCAGGGCTGCACGGCCACTGTGTTCCACCCTCCAGCGTGGGTGGCAGTCCAGTGCGTCATTCTGGGGCCTGAGCAGTGTGGCCAGAGGCCGGTCTGGGGTGGAGGCGACCTGGGCTGCAGGTTGTGGCTGGGGTCCTTGCTATGCTTCTGGCAGCAGGAATCAGAGAAGCAGTAACTGGATCCAGCTGAGGGCCTGGCGGCCACCGAGGGTACGGGCGGCGATCAGGTTGCGGCCGAGCCGTGAGCGTTCCACTGGACGGCTTCTACATCCGGAAGGGCTGGGCCGGGCCGGGCCGGGAGCCCACACGGGGTTGGAGGAGGGGGGCAGGAACGAGAGAGGCCAAAAGGTGCAGGGCCGTGAAGAGGGGCGCTGGGCCCACGCTATGAGGAAAAGGGGATCAACCCTGCCCTCCAGCCCCGTAGGCCCTCAGGCCCTCGGGCTCTGGGCTCTGTGCAATCCGGGAGTGGCTGAAATCCAAGCTGAGGGTAATGAAAGGTGCTGCTCCTAAGCCGCACGTCTCTGATCCGCCCTCCCCGCCCGCCCTCTGCTGCCCGCGGGCCCTCTAAGAGCTGCCCAGGCTGCTGCCGCGGGTCAGAGGCGGGTCAGAGCAGGCAGGGGGTTCGTGACGCCGGCTGGGTCTGGGGGCTGTGGGCCAGCCGAGCCGACCCGGGCTTCTGGGGGACCGCGGGGGCCGTGAGCACTCAGAGGGCGCATCCCAGGCCCCTCCGGGGACCCGGCCAGCCTGAAGATGCCGACGAACGGCCTGCACCAGGTGCTGAAGATCCAGTTTGGCCTCGTCAACGACACTGACCGCTACCTGACAGCTGAGAGCTTCGGCTTCAAGGTCAATGCCTCGGCACCCAGCCTCAAGAGGAAGCAGACCTGGGTGCTGGAACCCGACCCAGGACAAGGCACGGCTGTGCTGCTCCGCAGCAGCCACCTGGGCCGCTACCTGTCGGCAGAAGAGGACGGGCGCGTGGCCTGTGAGGCAGAGCAGCCGGGCCGTGACTGCCGCTTCCTGGTCCTGCCGCAGCCAGATGGGCGCTGGGTGCTGCGGTCCGAGCCGCACGGCCGCTTCTTCGGAGGCACCGAGGACCAGCTGTCCTGCTTCGCCACAGCCGTTTCCCCGGCCGAGCTGTGGACCGTGCACCTGGCCATCCACCCGCAGGCCCACCTGCTGAGCGTGAGCCGGCGGCGCTACGTGCACCTGTGCCCGCGGGAGGACGAGATGGCCGCAGACGGAGACAAGCCCTGGGGCGTGGACGCCCTCCTCACCCTCATCTTCCGGAGCCGACGGTACTGCCTCAAGTCCTGTGACAGCCGCTACCTGCGCAGCGACGGCCGTCTGGTCTGGGAGCCTGAGCCCCGTGCCTGCTACACGCTGGAGTTCAAGGCGGGCAAGCTGGCCTTCAAGGACTGCGACGGCCACTACCTGGCACCCGTGGGGCCCGCAGGCACCCTCAAGGCCGGCCGAAACACGCGACCTGGCAAGGATGAGCTCTTTGATCTGGAGGAGAGTCACCCACAGGTGGTGCTGGTGGCTGCCAACCACCGCTACGTCTCTGTGCGGCAAGGTAGGGAGGGCACAGGTGGCGACCTCCTGAGGGGTGCTGGGACCCCCCTGCTTCAGGGAGGAGGCCGTGGGGGTCTCACGGGGAGTGGTATCGTGTCTGTGCGTTCACATGTCTGTTCTGGGCTGGGGGTCCATGTGGGACATGTGTGGCCACTCAGGGTGTAGGTGGGTGGGCCTCGGGCCATGCCCAGGCGACCCCCACTGAGGGGTGGTGGCTTCAGGGTCAGAGGCAAGGGTTCCTGGCCTTTCTCAGCATAGCTGGAGAATGTCTCAGCCAAGCCCTGGGCAGCTGCGGAGTCTGAGACTGGAGAGGTGTGGGCCAGGCGATGGGCAGTGCCCAGCAGGGGCAGGAGGCCCACAGCCTGGCCTGGTGCCATGAGGGGCATGTGGGCAGGAGGCTGTGGGGGGTCCATATCTCCCCTTCTTTTTCTCCACCCCATTTTCTGGACTTCATTTATTTATTTATTTTTTGAGACAGAGTCTCGCTCTGTCACCCAGGCTGGAGCGCAGTGGCGTGATCTCGGCTCACTGCAAGCGCCGCCTCACGGGTTCACGCCATTCTCCTGCCTCAGCCTCCCGAGTAGCTGGGACTACAGGCGCCCGCCACCACGCCCGGCTAATTTTTTGTATTTTTTAGAAGAGACGGGGTTTCACTGTGTTAGCCAGGATGGTCTTGATCTCCTGACCTTGTGATCTGTCCACCTCGGCCTCCCAAAGTGCTGGGATTACAGGCGTGAGCCACCGTGCCCGGCTGCATTTTCTGGACTTTAAAGGAAATTGGGGAGGAGCCCAGGGTAGGGCAGGGAGCTGGGGATCGGGCGGGGATAGCACCACCACGTGCCTGACCAGTGGAGCCTCGTGTCCTCAGGAGTGGGGGGGCTTAAGGTCAGCTCCAGTGATGGAGGACACGGTGGGCAGGCAGCTTTACCCGGGGCCTGGGCTCCTGGTGGGGAGGCACCTCCCTGCCCCAGTGGGGCGTGGCCTGGCTCTCCCCAGTTCCCAGGTCACCAGTTGCCTGTCTGTGTGACTCCCTCCACCGCCTATGGGGTGAACCCCAGCAGTTCCTCCTTCCCCACAAGCTGAGCTCTGAGGGAAAAGCCCTGGCCCGGGCAGTCACTACCCACCTGGGCTCCTGGCTCCATGCACCCCAGAGTGGCTCGGAGGTGGTCTGAAAAGGCGAGGTGGGGAGAGCCGGGTGCATGGAGCTCCTCCTCCCAACTCAGGTCCTTCCAGACCAGCATCAGCTGGGCAAGGAGAGCTCCCCTGTCTCCTGGCAGCTCCCAGGTGCCCACCAAGCCCCCACCCTGACGGATGTCCAGGCCCCCTGGGTACACTGACACTCTGGGGCCAGATGGCAGAGGCCCCACCCTGTGCATGGAGAGGGGAGCCCAGCCATGGCTATGGGGTCCTGCACCTGCAGTTGGCATCCTCGGGCCTGTCCCAGCAGTGACAGGGTCCCAGGAGTGAGAATTCAACTGTGGATGCACGGCCATGGCCCTTCCTTCCTATCACAGCCCACAGTCCAGCTGTAATGCCTGCTGGCCTGGGCCCAGGCCGGGCATGTGGCAATCCTTAGGTGGTTAAAGGGGGTAAGTGGGACAGTGGCAGTGAGAATGCTTCCTCCATGGAAGCCAAAGACACTAGACCTTTAGGCATTTGTATATGGACAGCTTGGAAAGCAGACTCAAAGTGGCAGTCATGGCCGTGGCCGTGGCATTGTGGTGTGATGTGCATGGTGGCGTGGAAGTGGAGGTGAGGACGGTGGTGACAGTGTGGTGGCAGCAGCGACAATGATGGTGATGGTGATGATGGTGGTGATGGTGATGATGGTGGTGATGGTGGTGATGGTGGTGATGGTGGTGATGGTGATAATGGTGATGGTGGTGATGATGGTGATGGTGATGATGGTGGTGATGGCGGTGGTGATGGTGATGGTGGTGATGGTGATGGTGGTGGTGGTGATGATGGTGGTGGTGGTGATGGTGGTGGTGATGATGGTGATGGTGATGATGGTGGTGGTGATGGTGGTGATGGTGATGATGGTGATGGTGATGGTGGTGGTGAT